>NC_000006.12:96737456-96888971 GCF_000001405.40 Homo sapiens
TACTGAGACTGCCACTGCTATGGGAAACTGGGCTAGATCTCCCTGAAACCCCCTGAGGGGCCACAGAGAATGTGCCTCAACATTGTACACCCCACCTAAGAGGTGGAAGAAAGGAGCTTTTATCCTCTTGGTCTTGTTGCCCATTAGCCAAGTGTGGCCCTATCAGGGGTTAACTCCCTGGGCTTTCCATATTGCATGTGAGAGTGCCTGGATAAAGACTTCATGCAGTTGAAGCCGGACTCTGTCAGGGGGTGAGCCTGTAGCTATGTGAAGCTGCCTGCAGCAGCAGCAGGGCTAGAGGGGCAAACAGGCCCTGATACAGTGATCCCCCCACCCAAGCTGGGGCTTACCAGCAGCACACCCAAACTGATTTCTAACTAAAGCTCTTTACTACTCAAAATACCTATTAACATCTTTCTGGACAGGTGCTATACATGCAGCACAGTTTGGAACAAAGAAGAGCAACTATTATGGGAGTTAGATATTTCTTTTCAAAGAAATCCCACCTTGGGAAGGGCAGATTAGATATCTGAAAGACCAGTGGAAATATTAGGACAGAGAGAATGAAAGCCTGACTCCAGCTGAAGGGCAGTTGTGTAATTGTTTTGAATTTCCTCCCACAGATAGAAACATGAGGAGATGGCCCCACCAACTATGTTCTGTGCCAGCTCTCCTGGAACTCTTTAATGTATATCCAGAGAGTTTTAATAGGGGGGATATCACTTTTATGCTGTATAAGTCAGACATTTTTTCAAATGATTGCTCGATGAAACAGAAAATAACCTTTCTGCCTGCAAACTGGTAATAGTAAAAAGTTAAAAGTGAACTTGGCTACAGCTAAAAATTACACAAAGAGAAACCAGTTCCTTGTTTAAGACAATTCTAAACACAAGCACTCTTGGTCTCCAAGACAGCTGGCAGTAATTTGCAGACATATTGTGAATAAATGTCTTCTTACTATATTTGTTTAATTGTGACAGCAGACTCATAGAGCAATCTCAGCACTGGGGGGAAACTCCCTAAATATGTTTTGTGTAGGTGTTTCCACAGAAGTGATACAATTAACATAGAAATCAGGAAAACAAAACAATCTTTACATAACTAAGTTTACATTTCTACTTTTATTTAGGAACTCTATATGTATGTTCATTTTCCATCAATAATTTGCTATAAAAATTGCTTTCACGCATCTTCTCTAAAGCACTTTTCCCATTTTCCCATCAGTCAGGCTACATTGTTGATGATGTCTTGAGCCCTGAACTTGACAGTGTGTCAGCAAGATGTTGATACATTTAGCAAAACACAAATATTTCTGTCTCTTAAGGAGGCTATAATTGAAATATCAAAATGGCAACATTTCCTGTATTGAAGAAACCATTTTATTAGGTTTTTAAAGACCAGATTTATCTAAAGAGCAAATAAATGCTTTGAAAGAATGCTTTTATCAGGATTTTCAAAATGTAATTGTTTTACTCTTAAAATGTTTATTTGTAATTGGAAAACATGACTTTAAATATTTAGTTTTCCATCTGTTTTAAAATGTAAACACCCACAAAGGCTGTATGTTGCCAGTTTTCCCTACGCTCCTTTTTATTGCCTCAATATACTTCTGCTTATAAACCTGGTAATTTCACATAAAAATAGCTCAATAGCATGGGCCTACAAAGCAAGACTCCTTTAAAACCAGTGTATAAGTGTATTAAAAAACAGAGCAAGGTATACTTAAATTTATTCTTAGATATGGGATTTCAATAAAAATTCCTTTATATCAACAAGGATATTGTTTGCAGACCTGACATCAATAAAAGTTTTACTTACAATATTAAAGGCAAAGATCACATATAAAGAATTCAAACTTAGAGAGAAACCTGGAATTCCATGTTCTTTGTACTACATTTTATTTCTATATTTCATATTTTCTCTTTGCCACATCTATTTGTAATACAATAAAATAAAACAAATATGTTAGAACTTCCTCTCTAAGTCTGGGTAACTTTCAACACAGCAAATCATAAAGTATCCAAGCCTCAGTTACCTGACCTATAAAATGAGGATATTGTACCAAGCAACCACTGTCACCGTACACGTTATAATTAAGTGTTGTCACTGTGTTTTTATTGTAGACCTTCTGGTGGAAGAGATGCCTGAAAACCTTCCTGCATTGTCTTAGTTAATTGGCTTTATCCAGAAAAGAAACAAACTTCTCATATCTTTATAACAGGAGGTAGTTTTGCAATTTGTAGTGAGGTGCCCACCAAAGCTAGGCTCCTACATTCCCACAGATACTGGGAAATAAGAGGTACTATCTTCCTTGATTATTACATTTCAAAGAGATGGCTCCCAGGTTCTTGAGAAAGACTTCACTGGGTCACAAAGCTGACAAAAGATCTATCTAGTTTTCAAAAGAGTATCTACACATTTCAAAGAGAGGAGAAAGCACTTAGTACAAGTTTTCCAAAGTAATTGCTCTTTAAAAAAAAAGTAGGGTTGGGGAGTTTTCCTTATTTTCAACAGGGAAAATTAAGCCTCTTATTTTTCTTTTTTTTCTTTTGATAAGGAGTCTCGCTCTGTCACCCAGGCTGGAGTGCAGTGGCACGATCTTGGCTCATTGCTACCTCCACCTCCCGGGTTCGAGGGATTCTCCTGCCTCAGCTTCCTGAGTAGCCAGGATTACAGGTCATGCACCACTAGGCCTGGCTAATTTTTTGTATTTTTAGTAGAGATGGAGTTTCACCATGTTGCCCAGGCTGGTCTCAAACTCCTGGCCTCAAGTGATCCACCCCCACTCAGCCTCCCAAAGTGCTGGGATTATAGGTGTGAGCCACCGTGCCCGGCCTTATTTTCCATTTTTATTTGTCCTTAAAAGTAATTCTCAGTGGCTTTGGTTTTCAATTATTAATGCTAGTCTGTGCAGGTAATGCCGCAAAACGAATCTTGGAGTCATATTGCCTGTCCAGAGACTCAAGAGTGAACCTCCTCCTACCATGTGGTCCTAACTCAACTGTATTTGTAAATTACATAGGCTCCAACCACAGCTCTAGATTTCTAACCCTCTCGCTCTACAGACACCATGGAAGGCTTTAATTGAAAACTAAGCAAACAAAGGTATAGGAGCCTGTATTATAATGAAAAATGCCTAAGTTAAAGATACAATTAAGTTAAATCTTTTAAAACCAAAGATTAAAGAGGCAATTAGTCTAGGCAATTAGACTGTGCCTACAACAGTCTGTCTCTAGGAATCAGGTTTGTTCAGGACATCAAGGAATGTCTGAAGAGGTTTTTAGAGCATGCTTCAGTGTTAGGACAGGAGCAATGGAAGAATGAGAACACAATACACTAAGAGTAATTAAAAAAAAAAAAAGTAATTCTCAGTACAAGTTCTAATTTTTTTCGGCGGCTTCCTAACCAGCATATAGATTTCAGTTTTATCCTCAAAGTCACATCTTCATCACTTCCCATTCAGGTTCTTGCCATGTTCTTTTGCCTTGGGGTTTTTATGCTGCATGGCAAAACTCATCAGTTGGCAATTGCCAATAGAAAGGAGGGTAGTATACTCATTTACTAAAAGACTGTGGAAAGGATTCGTTGTTGGAGTGTCCCACAGGTAGTTGGAATCAGAGTCTGTAGAGTGTTCCAAGGGAAGAAAAAAATCCCCTCCAAACTCAGAAAACCTTTTTCTAAAGGTATTATAGAAGGAAAAGAGAACAATTTTATTATTAAAGAACTTTGAACTAGAATGTAATAATGCTCATCACAAGCAATTGATTAAAGACATTGTAAAGACAGAAGGAAATCTTCCTCTTTTATACAGATTATAAATCTTCCTCTTTTATGTATAGCCCATTACACTTATGTTTCCAAGATAAAATTGCTGATTTTCTCATATCTTTATGACTTTGAAGTCAAGTGACAGCTGAAATTACACTTACAATCTCCTGGAGATGGGAGATATGGCATTATCTTCCTCCATCATTACATTTCAGCCATCTGGCTTTCAGGTACTTGAGGGAACATTCCTAAATTGTGAGACTGGCAAGAGGCTTATTTAGAATTTTACTTTCTACAAGAAGGTGAAAGAACTGGGGGTGGGGGTGATGTATAGTACACTAGAGAGGTTGGGCGTGCAGTTTCACATAAGAGCTCATGTCCAGTGGGAGCAGTGGACACTCATGCCTTTGAAGGATTTTGTGAGCTTGGAAAATGTGCGTATCAAAGGTGACCAGTGAAGGCTTGAGACCGTTGTGCTCTTTCCCAATTGTTTTGTATAATTTAAGAGTCTCACTATCATTGGATAACCCTAGATAAAGGGAGGAAACTTTTCATACATGACACAGATTGAATTTCTTATGAACTAGGAATGGGAAAAAAGTAACTCAACTCAGAGTTATTATTCTTAAAAATAGTAATATGTGACATTTTTATACCAAATGTGGTAGAATAAAATTCAGACCTACATTTAATTATTGCCTATTTTATGCCAGTTACTGTTCCATGTAAACAAGACTGAGAAGATCTTTGCCGTAATGGAAATCATAATGTGCTAGGAAAAATCACACAAATATGCAGATGATTATAATCAAGGAGAATAAATTATAAAGACAGAAGTACAGGAAGTTATGGATGTTGCTTGAAACCCACATTTGGGGTGTTAAGGAATGTTTACAGATGTAGGAAAGTTTAAACTGAGACCCAAAAGATGGGTGGGAATTACTACGTATATGTGTAATATCCTAAAGGTACCATATAATATTGATTTAAAGCAGTGACCTTGACTGAATGTGGTTGCTCATGCCTGTAATACTAGCGCTTTAGGAGGCTGAGGTGGGTGGATCGCTTGAGCTCATGAGTTGGGGACCAGCCTGGGCAGCGTAGCAAAACCTCATCTCTACAAAAAATACAAAAATTAGCAGGGCATGGTGGTGTGCACCTGTAGTCCCAGCTACTCAGGAGGCTGAGACAGGAGGATCACTTGAGCCCAGGAGGTTGAGAATGCAGTGAGCCATGTTGACACCACTGCACTGCAGCCTGGGCAACAAAGCAAGATCCTGTCTCAAATAAATAAAAATAGTAGTGACCTCCAAGTAAAAAAAAAAAAAATCCAATTCTCTAAATATGTTTTTACAAAAGTAAGGAGGTCTGAGCTATATCTTAGAAATATTTCAATGTAAAATAGTTGAGCTTCAAAGCAGAAAATTTTCATTATCTGGAAAATACTTGTATTCATGATACCTCATTTCCTTAATGATGTCAGATAAAATGTTCTTTTGTTTCATGAACAAGATTTGATTGATAAAAACGTTTAGAAAATTAGTTGACCAAAATGGCTGCACTTTTCCTTCAAAAGGAGCTCACTGAGTAATTAACAGATGTAGAGAGAAATCATGATGTTACCTACCGGCAGTGATTGATGTTTCCCAGTGTCACACTGTAATGCAATTATGCGAATGCTTTGACATCTGCTGTAATAATTGACCGCACTGAAGCTGCTGCCTGCTCAGGACACTTCTTATCTATGACTGCTCTCTTATTAGGGACTGGATCATGGCTACTCTTTCTGAACACACCTGTTTAAAGGTAAATTATATGTTCCTACAGTACATCTTCTGTTGTCCACCTCAAAGGGGTCACCTAATGACAGTCTCCAAAAAATCCACATAGGCGAGTACAATTCTTTTTTTTTTTTTTTTTTTTTTTTTTTTTTTGAGACACTCTTGCTGTGTCATCCAGGCTGGAGTACAGTGGCACAATCTCGACTCACTTGCAGCCTCAACCTCTCAGGTTCAAGGGATTCTCCCACCTCGGCCTCCTGAGTAGCTGAGATTACAGATATGTGAACCATGCCAAGCTAAATTTTGTATTTTTAATAAAGATGGGGTTTTGTCATGTTATCCTGGCTGGTTTCGAACTCCTGGCCTTAAGTGATCCACTCTTGGCCTCCCAAAGTGCTGGTTTTACAGGTGTGAGCCACCATGCCTGGCCACAATTTTCTACTGAGAAATCTTTTTTGAAATCAAGGTGAAATTTTACCTTTGTAATCTCAACACTTTGGAAGGCTGAAGAGGGAGGATCATTTGAGGCCAGGAATTCACGACTAGCCTGGGCAACATCACAAGACCCCATCTCTACTATTAAATTTTAAAATTAGCTGAACCTGATGGCCCCCACCTGTAGTCCTAGCTACTCAGGAGGCTGAGGCGGGAGGATCACTTGTGCCCAGGAATTCAATGCTGCAGTGAGCTATGATCGCACCACTGCATTCCAGTTAGGTGACTGAGCGAGATGAGACAGAGAAAGATGAAAGGACATATGAATAAATCCCTGCATTTTTAAATCATGAAAACATCTTAGTGGCTATTTTTTAATAGTTCAGCTCATAGATATATAATTGGTATATTTCAGCACTTTATTAAATAAAATATATATTTCCCACAGAAGATAATTGATGAAAGCAGAATGCTTTTCTTTTTTCCATTTAGAATAACAGTAAATTCCATTAAAATGTATTTAATTCATTGACTGGAAGTTAGGCAAAGTAAGTATGCTTAGATACTGTAAATATATGGTAAGTGGCAGATAATGGTAATCAGGAGGTTCTTTAGCTGAGCTTTTTGAAGTTAAATATTAATATATGTTGACACTATACATCACATGGAGATTAATCCTTAAATTGAAAATATAGGTATAATTGCAACTAATCATTTTAATTGTGTAATTGCCTAGTCTGAATGGGCTGCTTGCTATAGCTGCATCGTCGTAAATTTGTAATCAGATCTAAGTGTCTTGAGGAACAAAATAATCCACCAACACTGTATTACCCACTAATAGAACTATAAAGCAATGAAGTTACAGGCAATACAGGCCCATGCAAATACGCTAAAATAATAGTTCACAGATTGTCATGGTTCTCTAAAATCTCTAGGCTGGCTATCAAGATTTTTATCTCATTCCAAATAAAAATAGCCTTAGCTCTTTTCAGATTATAAAATAACAAATGTTCAATTTTTGAAATTTCCATACAATACAGAAATGTAAAAGGAATAAAAATGAAATCAACTTCAATGTCTCCACCTAAAAAAAAACACTGCTAATATTTCCTTTTATATCTTCCACACTTTTTACTATCTATACAGATTTTCTTACAAAAACTGAATCGTTTTTAAACAATGTCATTCATCTTGCTCCTTTTACTTATTAAAATACTTTGGAATCTGTACATATAATCTATCTTCTTTAATGCATATATATATTTCAATGTATATATTTTCCTTATTTATTTAACTGTTCCATTTTTAACATACATTTAGTTTCTATGTTTCTTTTTTTGCTATTAATATTACAAGAAACACTTTGACAAAAATTCTTATACCACTTTTAAGCACTTTATTTAAATTTCTGGGCCAAAGAGGAATTATAATTTGAAGGCTTTGTTCAAATATTTGCAAATTTTTCTCTAAAATAGTCATATCAATTTCCTATTTCATTAATAATAGATGAAACAGACTATTTCCTGTTACTTTCACCAACACTGGTTCTTATCAACATTTTAAAATTTTGTCACACTAGTTTGGTTTTCTAAAGTCTAGGGTGGAATACCAAAGAGGGGACATCAGGGGTAATATAGATGTTCATGTTCTTGATTGTAATGCTATTTCATAGGTACATACCTATGCCAAAACTCAGAAATTATATACTTCCAATACATGCAGTTTATTCCATGTGGATATGGCACTCATTTCCGGGACTGGGGCAAGCCTAACTCAGCCCATACCGAGCTTTGGTGTCCTGGCTTTTAAATTGCTGATGACCCAGCATTGGTTTCTCCATAATCCTGTTTCTCAGCTATAAGCCAGAGAAAAGGGGATAGGAGAAAGTGATATTAGCACTGCCATCAAAGTAAGGGAGCTTATCCCAAACCAGGGGAATGTGAAATATAAGCAAAGGCCAGGTTTGGGGAGATAGGCACAGAGCAGGGGACATACTGATTTTCACTGGGCCCCTAAAGGGCCAGCTAAGGTGACAGCACCAACTATAAGCTTCAGTTTAGAAATATGTTTAGAAATAGACATTGGATACATATGTGGAAACAAGAGAAACAAAAGGCAAAGCTGTTCAGGAAAGCAAGGGTTACAGGCCTAAAGAGATCCAGAGCACGAAGTGCAAGTAGCACAGAATGATGAGCGTCCTGGGCTCCCCACTGGAATTGAAGAAATACAAGAGCTGTGGGAAATATAAAGCCATGGACTTCGGTGGGAGATTTACTGCTATCATTGGCAGTGGGTGGGGTGGGGTGGGTGCCTGCTCTTTAGAAAGAGTAGAAGCTATATTCCTGAATAGGTGGCACTCAATTTAGCATGGGTTTTGGAATACCTCTATCAAGTAAGATTCTAAAGGAAATGTAATAGGCTTTAAAAATGCAGAAAAAAAATTGTTGAGAAGATAGACTACAATTTTACAAATTTTGATAAAAATACGAGTGTTTTAGATGACATTCTCAAAACAGTGAAGCAGTTTACATAGCTGGTGAATTTTTTCCACGTGATACAAGAAAGTGTCATGATTAACCTCCTCATGGGTGGCTATGGCTATCACCAACAGACCTTGAACTTCACAAGAGATACATTTTACTAACTGAAATGAAATTGGGGGCAACTTAGCAAAGTGAAGCTAATGATTCTTTCTCTTCTATTTTTTTCTATTAATGTCTTTGCCTACCCCTACTATAAAAAACACATGAATCTCAGCCATGTTAGTTTGTCTCAATTTTTAATCAAATACATGCCTACTTCCCATCATCTGATACATATTAAATAGCCAATGCAATCATGCCCATTTGCTATACTCAGCTCAAAGCAAAAAAAAAAAAACAGTGATGCTTTGGCATTGTCTCTTCACAATATCGAAGTGTGACAGTGTGACTTTATAGAGTTTTGTGAATAGTCACAGAGTATCAGGTAGAGATTGATCAGCCATGGGGTGCTAGGTTGAATATTATTTTGGGGAGTGTCTATGAGGGTGTTTCCAGATAAGGTTTGAATCAGTGGACTCAGTAAAGAAGATTGTCCTCTCCAGTGTAGGTAGGCATCACCCAATCCACTGAGGGCCTGAACAGAAAAAAGAGGTACAAGAAGGATTTACCCCCTTATTGCTTCCCGCTTGCCTTGTTGAGCTGAGACATCAGTCTTCTCTTGCCCTTTGACTGGGATTTATACTACTGACTTCCTCTGGTTCTCAGACCTTCAGACTCAGACTGGAACTACACCACTGGCTTTCCTAGGTCTCCAGCTTTGCAGATGATAGATTGTGGGACTTCTGCACCTTCATAATTATATGAGCATATATCTTACATTAAATCTCTCTCTAGATAGATGTACAGTACATATCCCATTAGTTCTATTTATCTGGAGAAACTGGACTAATACATGGTCTGTTTGAATGCAAATTCCATTCTCTTGAGAGTCATTTATTCATTCAACAAGTATTTATTAAGGGTCCAGGCACTGGGAATACAACAGTAAATAAAGTTCTTGCCTATAAAGAATATATATTCTGGTGGAATTCTATCTTAAGTGTGCTATTATATTGTATTCTAGACAAACATTTCTATCCCTACCACTTGGAAATAGCTGAGTATCAGCATTTTCATAGGAAGCACCAAAAACTGGAAAGTTTAACAGCATAAGCACTAGAGCCCGATGGAGCAATTTAGTTTTTATTTTGGTTCTGGACACATCTCATGTTTGTGATTATCTTATCTTCATTGGAATCCAAATGGGTAAAGCTGATATCAGCCTGTGAAATGGGGATTTTCCTTCTCAGATTATTTTTTCTTCCCCTGGAAGAAGACTAGGCTATACTAATATTCAGGGTTCACAATACTCTTTGGTTTAAAATGTATTCTGTCCGATTGAAAGAGTGGAGCAAACCTACTTAAATCCTCCTTCCTCCAGATGATATGGAAGAATAAATCAATCAATGAAAAGTAAGCAGTCACTTCTTGCATATTCTCATACACTGTGAATGCTCAGGGGACAGTTGCTCAGTGGAGGGCTCCTCAAGAAGGCTGAGGCCCAATCTAGAGTGGAACTTGGAAACTCAACTTCCACCTGCCCCAACAGAATCTGATTAACTGAAAATAGGGGTCTCAGAAAGGAAGTGGTGCCCTGCAGGAGCCATCATGTCCTGCTCACTGCCAGCACTATCTGTGCAAGACAGGAAGGTCCAGATCAAGACAGTCCCAGGGACAAGCAGCCAGCAGGTGAAGTTTCTCTCCTCTCTCTCTCTGTTTCTCTCTCTCTCTCTCTCACTCTCTCTCTCCCCCCTGTAGTCTGGCATTCAGAATACATAATCTGTGGAAATGTGTACTTCGATAAATGAAAGAGCTTGTCTGTGAATTAAGCCAGCCCAAAAGCCATTCTGCAATATCTCACAAATGCCAATACTTCCTCTCTCACCATTCAACTCACAAGTGTATTGTAAAAATTTAATAAAATAATTTAGTCTTAAATGGTCTAACACAGACTATGTTGCCTAATATAAATATTCACTTGAATGTTTTAAGAAAATATCAGTTACAGTTAGTTAATCTATATAAGTGGAAATGTGTGAACATAACATAGCATGGCACAGGTATGTTATGATTTCTAGGTTAATCAGGTATGATTTCTATGTTGTAGACAATGCTTAACCATCACTCAAGTGCCACCAGTGATAGGGATAAAAGGGAAAAAAAGAATTCCTGATCCACATTCTGGTTATTCAACCTCTCAGTTATAAAGACGAGCTAAAACTGCAAAGAACAAGATGGTTGAGTAGGTGGAACTGCCTTTACACAGGTTAAAAAAAATCACCTTTTGACTAGCTAACCATAACCTCTTTTCTCATTTATTAATATTAACCACCACAATTCTTTAACTCTGGTGCAACTATTCTCAAAGAATAAATACATGTATAAGAATAAAATTACAATAATTACATTCATAATACAATCACAGTAGTAATTATGCTCAATTTATTTGGGAATATGGAAAGCAGTTTTGAAAAGAAATATTTTTAAACAGCTCAAATTCATTTCTGAAAATGAATCAAATGTTTAGAAGACATTTAATTGAGCAAGAAAGATCAAAGGAGCTCCAACACAATGGTGTTCTTTAATAACTGTTTTTAACCACCCAAGGGTATAATTCTCATTGTTTCATTTAATCCTGTCTATGATTTAAGTAGCTACTTTTGCTGTTCACCAGATTTATTGCCATAAGATACACTCCTTTCATTTTTACATCACGCTTTTGATTTAACCAAGGAAATTACTGGTAAAGGATTTAATTCTGATAAAATATGCTTTTTGAGGGGCATTTCTGGAGAGAGGGTTCAGCTTAAAAACAAAGTAAAGATACCAAATTTACTGCTGCCAATCAATGAGCTAACCTTAAAATAGTTTTTAAATAAAGTCTGAAACTGTAATAAAGCAATGTGATGTGTTTAAATAGATTGTGAGATCACAATTCTTCTCATGATTCCTAAAAATCCCTCTTTTAATGTTTAACACATTGTGTGCTTTAGTTGCTCTGTAATTGTAAAGA
Source organism: Homo sapiens (assembly GCF_000001405.40). Lineage (NCBI taxonomy): Eukaryota > Metazoa > Chordata > Mammalia > Primates > Hominidae > Homo > Homo sapiens. Next base: position 96,749,036 of record NC_000006.12, read on the forward strand.
GCATATATGCTTAATTCCACTTAATTCCCAAGTTTCTTGAAGAAGTTTATTCACACAGAACATCTCTCTCTATTACAGATCAAGGACGGTTAAAGATATTCATTCAGTAATGTCATGTTAATAGATTACAAAAATCACATTGCTGTTTTATAAACACCCTTATAAACAATGACTTTTCCTTCTAAGTTTTAAAAATATGAAAATTTAAAAGCTCCAAGGCCATAACTATTCACTCTTAATCATGTGGCTTCTGAGAAATTTCCAACAGACCCTTTAAAAAGAGTTTAAGTAAATTTACTTACTAATTTTACACAGTCAGTGTTTTGGGGGAGGCTGCAGAGTTTTCAGCTCCAGTCAAATTCCCAACGTAGTCATTTCTGAAAATGCCCCTTGCTTACCCAAGCTTTCCAAAAACAAACCTTTGTCCTAAAAGACCTGGATTTGAGGTATTATCACATAAAGAAGCTATAGAAAATGTTTTCCATATGAAACACATTTCATAAAGAAAAGTGTTACATTTCAAAAGAGTAGACAGAACAATGTTTGCCACCTACATTTTAAATTTTTCTTCTAATTCCAGATTCATACTATTTGATAAATTTCCTGTAGTTTTTGTTTTTGTTTTTTTTTTTTTCCGAGACAGCGTCTCGCTCTGTCGCCCAGGCTGGAGTGCAGTGGCGCCATCTCCGCTCACTGTAAGCTCTGCCTCCTGGGTTCACGCCATTCTCCTGCCTCAGCCTCCCGAGTAGCTGGGACTACAGGCGCCTGCCACCATGCCCAGCTATTTTTTTTTTGTATTTTTAGTAGAGACAGGGTTTCACCATGTTAGCCAGGATGGTCTCCATCTCCTGACCTCGTGATCCGCCCGCCTTGGCCTCACAAAGTGCTGGGATTACAGGCGTGAGCCACCGGGCCCGGCCTCCTGTATTTTTTTCTATCTCACTGCCTTCATATGTCCTTGCAAAGGAAAATCACAAGACCTTACTCTTCATTAAGACTCACAGGTCACACCAATCTAAATCTGATTAACTCATACCAGGAATTCCCAAAATACAATTTCAATTTACAGAGAAAGATTAAAAGGTACATTTGGCATTTGTACTACAGGAAGAAGTCAGTAGTGGGTGAAGGGCTAACAGTTTCAGAGTGTTATTCTTTCTTTTGTAAGCTTATATAAATTTAAAAAGGCTTATGAAGTGAGTTTTCTAGCCAAGAAATTAGGGAACTAATCAATCCCTAGAAATTCCCCACTAGAAAAGCTTCGAGTCCCTGCTGCCAGGCCCTTCAGCTTAATGAACCCACAAATACACATGTCACAAAACACAGAGGCAGAAGTGGTTTGCTTGAGAGAATCAAAGTAGAACATTTTAAAGGATGTAGCTAAAGGAGACCCAAAATCTAAGCATTTCCTTGTCTTCTGTCTCTTGCACAAACCCCATATCCAATCCATGAATAAGTCCTGTCAGCTCTTTACATCCAAAAATTGTCTAGGCTATCTCCTCTTCCTGCAGGTTTATGGTGGCTAGGACCCTGTGCACAAATCCCAAAACCAGCCATGAGCAAGGCTTTCATCACTGCTCAGTAATGTGGGGCTCCCAGCATGGTCACACTCAGCCTTGACTAAACCCACCTCACATCTGAATTTCCTTGCAAATATCCTTCCAGGGTATTATAATATTTGTCAGTGGTAGACTGTGGTTGAGAGCAAACTATCTGTTGAGCACTGAGTGCTTTGTTGTCCCTCCATTTGGTCCCTAGAATCTGGCCACCCTGAATATCAATAAGCATACCTCAGAGAATACAGAGGTTGTCAAGTAAACCCTGGGGCTGCTAGAGGTTCATGTGAGGACTAAGAAGTCTCTGGTGAGTGAATATGACTCCCCAGCGATCATCACCATTGCCTGCACTCCACTGCATCTCAACAGGTAGCTCCTGGAGCATTCTTTTCACAAGGTCTTCTTAATACCAACCCTTTGTTTCTTACCTGCATCCATCAATCTCAATTCTGCACTGCCTTGAGGAAGTTGTAGCTGCAAGAATATGGCCTGATTGATGCTAAAATGTTTGCAGAGAGCTTGCCTAAGAAGGAGATCCCATGCAAAAAGAAGAATCATCAATCATCAGGAGAGGGAAGGCAGAAGGCTGAAGCTCAGAAGAAGGAAGAGAAGAAGGTAGGACTTCACTAGACTCTGGTCTGGAGGAGAAATTGCATATGTAAATAGAAATGCTGCTGAGCCCATGACTAAGGACACCTTTGTTCATCTTCCCAAGAATACTTGCGTGTTGGATGAGTGTAGGTGCAAAATCTCCCATGAAAGCACCCTCTCTACAGTGCTATCATATTTCCAAGAGCATTTAGTTGAGATGACTAGTATTTGTGGTATGATGAACACAGCATACCCAGCACTCACTCCGACCCTTACGAGTCCTAACCTAATCACGGGGATGCTGGACAGTGGTTGGACAAACTGAGGCAAAGGCCTTCAGTAGTGTCTTCCTCTTTAGAATCAACTTTATTTTTAGACTCTGGGCCAGAAGATTGCCTTCCCACTGAGTCCAAGTTGGAAGATGTGCTGTGAGTAAAGTAATTGGCATGGTGGTAACTGAAACCTAGAAAGGAAGAGAACTCATCACCATTTGAAAGTGTCTTCCAGAATGTAGGCAGAGTCTTCAATTGGGGCAAAATCATCAAGTCAACATTTTTTGCCATCACCTAGTGTAGTTACTCATTAAAGGAAACCAAACACTGACAACTTCCAGAATTTGACCACTTTTCTCCATTACCATGGCTACCACCCTAGTACAAACCACCATCTTTTTCACCTCCACTAATATAGTAGCTTCCTAACTAACCTTCCTGCCTCCACATTTGTCCACTGTAGTCTGTTTCCACAAGTCACACAAGGCAATTTTTAAAAAATATCAACCAGACTATTTTATTCCTCTGCTGAAAATACTTCAAAGGTGTTCCATCACACCTAGATAAAATCCAAATTTTCTATACAATGGAATGTATTTAAGCAAAACCCTGACAGAGTGGGTTGAGGCCCTCCTTGCTCCTCACTGTGTCCTGTGTCTCCCAGGTGACAACTCCTCCAATTTCTCATAAAAGACTAAACAAACCCTGCTCTCTGGGGGTCACTATTTCTACTTACTTCTTAATTGCTGCTGTCCCCTACAGACCTCCTTATTACTCTCTTTCTTTTGACAAAGACTTTGGCATCTGGCTCATGGTCTTCCTCTTCAGCCCAAGCCCTGCCATCACCATGAGGGACTCCAGTGCCCATCTTAACCCCTGGTCTCTGAGATTTCAGTCTCCTTATGTCTGGTTATTTTCTAGGAACTTTTGAACTCTAATTATATTACCTCCAAAATCAGTTATTGAAATATCCCACAAATTTTCTCTTTTCCGCTGGCTAAAGTATTCCCACTTAAACCTCACTGAGATTTCTATTTTATTAAGCAGTCTTCTTGCTTCCAAACTATTTTTTCAGTACTTTCTCCCTTAGCCATCTTTTACTCCATGACCTACAATTCAAGTAGGTTTTAAACACTTTAAATTTGTTTGTCCTCTTGTGACTAAAACTTATATTCTTTATATAGAAAAAGTCACAGAATAAAATAGAATGATTCCACTTTAAATTCATGTTTACCAACCCTAACAGGCTTCCAGCATTACTTGGCATTCCAATTAATGATGCACTGTTCAAGTCACTCTTTCCCTCTCCAAAGTGGCTTTGATTCTCCTCCACTCCTTGAAACTCCAATCCTCTTCCTCCCCATGCAATATTAGCAGATGACCCTTAAATATTATTTGCATAAAATGTTAAAATGTAAAGGTTAATAGAATGTCAAAAATGTACATTTTTCAATTTAAAAAATAGAAAGTAAGTGTAGTAATCACAAGCCAGTAGAGAGAAAATAGTCAAGTGATTAGCTCTATCTGACAGAAGGAAGAAACAAATTCAAAGAAAATACATAATACATAGAAAGTAATTTACCGTGGCACAAATAAATCCAAATATTTTGGTAATTTTACAAATACAAATAGATGGGTGGGAGGCAAGGGGAGGGAAAGCATTAGGACAAATACCTAATGCATGCAGGGCTTAAAACCTAGATGACGGGTTGATAGGTGCAGCAAAACAACATGGCACATGTATACTTATGTAAAAAACCTGCACATTCTGCACATGTATCTAAGAACTTAAAGTAAAATAATAAAAAAATACAAATAGACTAAAATTTCATTTAAATGACAGAGACTTCAGATTAGATTTTTAAAAATAAAATAAAATCTAGCTATGTGCAGTTTGTGAGATATGCCTAAACCATAATGACACAGACAAGTTGAAAGTAAAGTGATGAAAAAATGTATACCAGGCAAATAATAAACAAAAAAGATGGTACATTTATTTCCATGTCATTCAAAACAAAATCAACCCTAAGGCAAAAATAATCACTGGGGATACAGTCAGTACATGATAAAAGAACAATTCTCCAGGAGTATATAGCATATTTAAATTACAAAAAAGAAAAATTGACAGAACTACAAGAGGGTATTTGAAAATCTGGAATTATAGTGGGAAAACTTTAATATATTTCTCTTAATAAACACATATAGCATTCAATAACATTAACATTTGTCAGGCACTATTCTAAGTTCTTTGTGTAATAATTCATTCACCCCAACTCAGCATCTCCTCTTGGATGTCTAAATAGACTCTCGATCTTAACACACCAAAAATCAAACTTCTAATTTTTATCATCATAATTTGCCCCACTCATAGTCTTCCCCATCTCAAGTGATACTCCCCTGTTACAGTTGCCCTAGCCAAATACAGTGGAGTGTTCCTTATTCCTCACTTTCTCTCATTACTCCATATCCAATAGGTCAGGAAGTCCTGTTGACTCTATCTTCAAAGTATACCAATCACCTCTCACCCCGACCTCTGCTACCCTTGAGCCCAAGCCATTATCATCTTCTTCCTATATTGCTTCAGTAGCTTCATAACTGGTCTCCATGATTCTACACTTTCCTCCATACCATCCTGTTCTTAACACAGACACTGGGGCAATTCTTTTAGAATACATGTTTGTTCAAATATTTGCTCAAATGCCTCTGACTTCTCACTTTACTTCGAGTGACTGTCAAAAGCTTACATGTCTTACAAGGCACTATGAACATAACGACTTACAAGGCATTATGCACGTGGCTCCCTCTCACCTATCAGACCACTTATCCTACTGTTCACTCCCTTGCTCACATCTTTCCAAAACATGGTTGAATTTTACTTTATGCCAACCATAGTCTGGTCCTGTGGCTTTTGCACTGGCTCTTTCCTCTGCCCACAACACTCTTGCTCCAGATATCACCATGACTAGCTTCCTCAGTTTCTCCAGGTTTCTATTCAGATGCCATCAGTTCGATGAGGCTTAGCATGGCCACCCTATTTAAAATTAGAACCTGATACCTGCCCGAACTTCAATCCTTCCACCCAAGATAATCTAAGTGTTAGGAGGGAAGGGATTTTTGCACACACCATTCACTTATATATCACATGTGCCAAGAGCAGAACTGGCACAGAATAGGCAGTCAATGAATATTTGTTAAATGAGTACATGGATGAGCAATTCATTTTTCAATTCAATTTTGAGCAAAATAAATCACTAGCAGTAGATTACTTTATTTAGCATATCAATATTACAGATGAGGAAACAGGCACAAATAGGTTAAGTAACTTGCCCCAGTTCACACAGCTAGAGAGTGCTAGAACAGTGATTTTCTTTTATTTCCCCAACACACACATTTTTTAGACTCCTGTACTGTACTGACACTCAATTATTGCTCCTCAACCACTGAGAAATCAAGCAAACAATAACAACAAAAAGAGTGTGACTACAATATTTGAGTAACAAAGTAAGCAAACTAGGCATGTATAAAACTTCATTCCTAACAAATAGAAAATTCATATTTTTAAGCAGACATATTTCCAAAAATAAACCATGTTACAGATCAAATAAAATTTAACATCAAAGACTCAACATGATACAGACCACATTATTTTACTTCAAATGCAATGAAAATAGAAGTCAATAAATTAAACACAGTGTATTAATCTGTTTCCATGTTGCTGATAAAGACATACTCAAGACTGCAAATAAAAAGAGGTTTAATTGGACTTACAGTTCCACATGGCTGGGGAAGCCTCAAATCATGGTGGGAGGTGAAAGGCACTTCTTACATGGCAGCAGCAAGAGAAAATGAGGAAGTTGCAATAGCAGAAACCCCCGATAAAACCATCAGATCTCGTGAGACTTTTTCACTACAATGAGAACAGTATGGGGAAAACCGCCCCCATGATTCAAATTATGTCTCACTGGGTCCCTCCCACAACACTTGGGAATTATGAGAGTAAAATTCAAGATGAGATTTGGGTGGAGACACAGAGCCAAACCATACCAGATAGCTTCAAAAAATATAATACAGAGATGGAACCTAAAAACTGTACTTCTAAATACTTCATGCATTAAAAAGCCATCATAGAAATTTGGATCAGAAAGAAACATAGGCTGGGCACAGTGGCTCATGCCTGTAATCCCAACACTTTGGGAGACCGAGGCAGGTGGATCACCTGAGGTCAGGAGTTCGAGGCCAGCCTGGCCAACATGGCAAACTCCGTCTCTACTAAGAATACCAAAATTAGCCGGGCATGGTGGCATGTGCCTGTAGTCCCAGCTACTCTGGAGGCTGAGGCAGGAGAACTGCTTGAACCCAGGAGGCGGAGGTTGCAGTGAGCTGAGATCGCATCAGTCCACTCCAGCCTGGGTGACAGAGCAAGACAAGACTGTCTCAAAAAAGAAAACAAAAAGAAAAAAAGAAAAGAAAAGAAACATAAAAAGCACTAGATATATAAACTTCTGGGAGTAGTTACATTTGCTTCTTTTAATGTCTTATATTTAAATGTAGGCTAGAAAACAAGAAAGACCACAAATATGTAAGCTATTTGTTCTCAAGAATCTGAAAACAGAATTTACAGCAAATATAAAAATGTAAAAACAAGAAATAAAAATTAGAGCACAAAGTAAAGAAAACAAAAATAAACATGATTCCCAAAACCTGGAGCTACTTCTTTGAAAAGACTGTAAAATACACAAGTCATTGGCAGTACTGATCAGAAAATGAGACAGTAAAAATAAACAGTATCATGTATAAAATAAGGAATAATAACAGAGATATTAGAGATTTTATAATATGAAACTACAATAATAACTCTATACCAAAAAATTTTAAAACTTGGAAAAAATTGATCAAATGCATGGGAAATATGAATTATGTAAAATGACACAAGAAGAAATATAAAGCTTTAAGAGATTTATAACCATTGAAAAATTGGAGTCAATGGTTTAAAATCTACCCACAAAAATCAAAAGAGAAAAAAAAACTCGCTGCAAGCAGAAAACCTTATACCTTATACATGTTCTTCAAAACTATCAACAAACATATAATCTCTAATCCCAACAATTTTCAAGGACAGAAAATAAAGAACACTTCCCTAACTGATTGCATGAGGCTGATAGGATCTTGATACCAAATCTGGGCAAGAACTGTACAAAAACAAAAAAAAGGAAACGGAGAGGCCAATCTCACTTATAACCAAAAATACAAATATTCTAAATAAAATACTGGAAAACCAAATCAAGAATTTTGTGTATATAATATATGAGTAATCTAGGGATTTTCCAGAAGTATGAGAGGTTTACTATTAGAAGACAGATTAATGCACTTCACTTAAACATGAACAGAGGCATGTATCTTTACTCCTTCCTGAAACATTACTAAAATGACCATATGGTGATTTTTTAAGCTATTAATCCAGAAGGCAATCAGAAAAAGAGAGCAGATGACAGTAGGTAACAAAGAGGCTCACTCCATGCCCAAACCCCTACAGTGAAGCCACCTCTGGGTGTGTCCCAACCACATACTCACAGAGCATCCAAGCAGCCTGGTCAGGCCCCATTCTAAGGTAGGAACAGCCTTAAGAGCAAACAAATTCCTGGCATTTGTGACAACATGGATGAACCTGGAGGACATTATGTTAAGGGAAATAAGTAATGCACAGAAAGATAAATACTACATGGTCTCACTTATTTGTGGAATCCAAAAAAGTCAAACTCATTGAAACAGAGAGTAGAGTGGTTTGTAACTTTCCATTATGGGGATGGCAGGTGGAGGGGTGGATTGAGGAGATGTTGGTCAGTCACAAAATTTCAGTTCAGAGGAATCAGTCCAGGAGATCTATTGTACAAGATCTATTGTGCCACATGGTGACTATAGTTAATAACAATGTATTGTATACTTGAAAATCACTGGGTACATTTTAAGTGTTCTCACCACAAAAAAATGATAAATATGTGAGGTAATACATGTTTTAAATAGCTCTTTTTAGCCAATCCATAATGTAAACATATTTTTAAACATCATAAATATATGTATTGTCAATTAAAAAACAAAAATATTTTTGAAAAGTTTCAGAAAGAGTTGAAACTGTCTCAAAATAAACAGGTTTTTAAATGAAAAAAAGAGATAACTCTATATTACATTAAACTCTAATAACATTTTCAGGAAATAAAAATCTCAAACTATATCTCATTTGCACCCTTCCTCAGGGGCTACAATATTTAGATAGTATCTAAACATGAAAATATTTAGGCATAGTAGTATGCCTAGAGGCATATCATTAAGAAACATGGAGGTAAATGCCTGAAGGAGGGGGAAGAAAAACAGCTCAAATGTTTGAGGTTTGCCAGTCTTGCTACTGGTGAGCAGGATTTGGAATGGAAATAGTGGCACAAAGAACATAGATTTGGGAGGATAAGCCTCGCAGTACAATTTTACTTTTTAAACAATGTGCCTTTATTCCTTTAACAATAATAAAGGTTCACTTTTTAAAAGGCAATGTAAATAATCACATTAACAATTTAAAGAAGAAACACCATATATTATTATTTCTATGTACAGAAAAAGCATTTAGTAAAATTCAACATCCAGCCACGTTAAAATGTCCTAGAAAAATAAGAATAGAAGATAACTTTCTTAACTTGATAAAACCCTGATATGGTTTGGATCTGTGTCCCCACCAGATCTCATGTTGAACAGTAATCCCCAGTATTGGAGGTGGGGCCTGGTGGGAGGTGACTGGATCATGAGGGTGGTCTCATGAATACTTTAGACCATCCCCTTGGTGCTGTTCTCCTGGTAGAGTTCTTAGGAGATCTGGTCGTTTAAAAGTGTATAGCACCTCCCTCTTCTCTGCCTCCTGCTCTAGCCATGTGAAATGCTGGCTATCCCTCTGCCTTCTGCCCATGATTGTAAGTTTCTCCCCAGAAGCTGAGCAGATGCCAGCATCATGCTTCCTATACAGCCTGTGGAACCATGAGTCAATTAAAACTCTTTTTTAAAATATATTATCCAGTCTCAGGTATTTCTTTATAGTATTGCAAGAACAGACTAATACAAAGACATTTACCACAAACCTACAACAAATATCATCATATTAATAAAACATTATTGAGCATTTACTAAGTGTCAGACAATAACAATCCTTTGAGATAAATTTATTATACTCATTGGCATATGAGTATACTGAGGCACAGAAACATTCAGTAACTAATCCAACTGTTGCATAGGGAGTAAGTGGCCAAGCCAGGATTTAAATTCAGGCTGTCTAGATCCACCACCCACACTGTTAAGGGCTAAACTATACCATCTTTCATACTGGAGAAAAGTTAGAGTCACATGCTTTGACGTCACAAAAAAAGCAAGGATGCCTGATTTCACAGCTTCTACTCAACATTACAAAGCTCCTACAGGGTGTTGTATGAAAATAAAAATAAAAGTATAAAGATTTAAATGGAAAAAACAGGCTGAGGGCAGTGGCTTATGCCTGTAATCTCAACAGTTTGGAAGGCTGAGGCAGGAGAATTGCTTGAGCCTAGGAGTTCAAGACCAGCTTGGGCAACATAGGGAGACTCTGTCTCTACAAAAAATAAAAAAAATAGATGGATGTGGTGGTGTGCCCGGGTAGTGCTATCTACCAGGAACCCTGTCTCTATTCCAAAAAAAAAAAGGATAAAAACAGAACTACCATTATTTTCAGATATGATTGTCTACATAGAAATTGAAGATAATCTACAAAATGTTACAACTAATAAGAAAGTTCTAAAATGGGTGCTAAGTATAAAATCAATATAAAATTCAATTCATCTTTCTATACATCAGTGACAATCAGAAATGTAATTTTATAATATACCATAACCAAGAGAAATAAAATCTATAATTTATCTATTAGTAAATCCAAGAAAAAGGATATAAGATCATTATAAAGAAATTTATAAGGCTTTATTGAGAGCTATGAAATTGTACAAATAAATGAAGCTATGCAACGTTCACAAACAGGAAGAACTGGTATTAGAAAGATGCAAATTCACCCCCATATTGATCTCTAACTTCAATACAATAACAATCAAAATTCTCCCAGAAATTGTTATGGAGCTTGATACACTAATCCTATAGACCATATTATATACATTTATTTAATAAAAGTTAAAAATTCTGCATGGTAATGATAGACATCAACTGTAGGAATGATGAAGGCTTCAGTTAAAATTGTAACATTTCATTCCTTAAGAAAAAGATTTCACAACCTGAGGCAAATATGGCAAAATGTTAATGTATGTTAAATCTGTGTAGTTAGTATGTGAGTTTTTATTATAATATTTTCTGAACTTCTCTCATTTTGAAATTTTGCATAATTTAAATATTTTTAGAAGGAAAGTCAGTGATGTTGAGTGCTGCTGTGAGAACAAATAAGATAACTGCTAAATCATCCCTTAGATTTGCTATCATAGACATCACAGCTGACTTTAGCAGGAGCTGATGATGTGAGATGAAGGGGCCAGAACATGACTGAATTGGGTTGAGAAATCAGTACCATAAGTAAATGAAGACAGTGAATATAGATCAGGTCATTAAAAAGCCCATTTTTTTTAACTAATTCAACAAAAATGAATTGAAAGTTGTTTTTATGGCACATAAAGCTTTGTAAAACCATCTCTGTTCTCAAAGAGCTAACATTTTGGTGAGGCTGTTTTATCAGTCATCTTCTCACCCTTGGTGGCATGTCTACTCTGAAGGCTCTGTGGCATCGTGGTGTGGGAGAGGGGTCTGGCCTGCAATGGTCCTGAGCTGGCAGCAGGAGCCATGCTCTCTGGTTGCTGCCTTCAGTCCCACTGACATCCTTGGGACATTTGTGATTCTAATGCATTTCCAGTCCCATGGCTTATGCTGCCATCCACAGCTGAAACTTTTTATCACAACCACGAAGCACTTTGTCATCTTCTAGTCTTCTTTCATCCTTCATCATTTCCCAGGATGTGGCAGGAGGCTAGGCAACTTTCAGGTGCTTTTTAATGTCAGGGTGGAGCTTACTAAACTTGCAGAGAGTGCTACATCAACCTAAAATGGCTTCCTTTCCATGTTACTGCTGTCTGGAGAGTCAGCCTGGGTGGGTAGAGGTGAAGAGGTCCCAGGTCTCCTTCCAATGCGCACTCACCTGCGCCAACCTGTCTTGCTTTTTGCTCCAACTATCCACTGTCCTTAGCTCAAGGAACCTATTTTAGGCAAGAGAGAGGAGCAGCAGGGAGTCACTCTTTTTCTATGTAGTTCTGTATTCCACCAAGATTAAGGCTGTTGAACTTCAGAGCTAAACATCAGTGTTTCTGTTCTCTAGTTCCTTCTCCCTACCATCATCAGTATTTTATTATTAAAATGTTCAAACATACAGAAAAGTTGAAAGAATTTTCCAATGGACACCCACATACTTACCATCTGGCTTCTACAATTAACATTTTGTCCAACTCTCTTTATCATATATCTATCCTCCATCAGCCTGTCATTATTTTTTAATGCATTTCAAATTAAATTTGCAGAGATCAGTACACTTTACCCCTAAACCTGCAGCATGCACATCATTAACTAGAGCTTAATAATTATTTATAGTTATTTTAGGCAAAATTTTTACGTAGTAAAATCACAAATATTAATGCACTATACAATGAGTTTTGACAAATGTCCATACCTGGGTAAATACATTCCCTGCTCATCCACTGAAACAGCTACCTCATACCCATTCATAGTCAAAACCTGCCCCCTCACCAGACCATTTTTAAGAAGGGTCTAGAAAGTTCCTCTCCTGGAATTTTCCCACTACTAGAAACATGATCCCTTCTCTACTATAATCTCTCTTCTCATGAGTCCTGAGTACTTCTAGTGGAGAGAGAAGATGGCTGCAAATGAAATTCTACGATTCCTGCAGAGAGCAGGGTAGTAAGCATGCCTCCTTCAGAAATTTCATTTCCACCCTCCCCAACTAATCCTTTGGCTTATTTTCAATCTGCCCCAGACCCAAAGGCTTATAGATTTTCTCACCCATATACCATTGCATACAAAATTTCATGTGATAAGGTGAAAAGCCCACACTCTAAAAGGGAGTCTCCTTTGACTTCCTCAAACTACACCGTATCTGCAGAATATATAAATGTACAGCACACTTCTTAATAATGCATTTTCACTAGAAATGTTTACATTTGTGGCCCATTCTCTGTCCCTAGGTAAATCAATAACCAAATCATCCACATTAGTGTTTATGTTACAGGATCTTTGGAGTGTCGCTTTTCTGGCCAGAATCCTGTGGCTCGTGGTGCCTTTGCCCAAGTTTTGCTCATGCCTGCTGGGCTCGTTCTGCCCACTCGGCCTAGCAGGCTGCACTCGGCTCATGCTACCAGCCTGGATCCCATGCCTCCAAGGAAGTCTTTGAGTCAGGCATGGAGCGGCAAGGGGTGGATGAGGGAGTGTGAGGTCTGGCCGCTGCGCCGTCAGATATGCCGGCTGCTGCCGCAGGGCAGTCAGCTCCAGGTCCCGGCATGGGTGCCGGCTCTCTGAAAGGCTGTGGCTGGACCAGGTGCACCACAAGCAGCTTCCCCAGCTGGCACTGGGGAATGCGGTGGCACCTGAAAGCTTGGAGATGCCAGGAACTGCAGGGCCCCAAAGAGGGAGTCACAGCCCTGGCTCCAGGAGCTCCCAGGTCTGGGCTCCCCAAAGGGCTGCAGCTCTTCTCTCCTTCTTTTCGCCCACAACGTGGTGAGCAAGGGGCATGTTGCAGCACTGTTTGTGTGATAGCTCTTTTAGCCTCACCATTTGGCAGTTCCCAAGTTCTTGTCCTGCACGCAGGAAGAATGAGGTACACAGGCAAGTGAAGGGTGAGCAAGACGAAGCTTCTAGCAGAAAGGGTAGCTCCTCTTTGCAGGCAGGTCGTCCTAACAAGTGTTCAGCTCCCAGGAGAAAGGGTAGCTCCTCTCTGCAGCTTGTCATCTGGTTGTCTGCCCTGCTCTGGGTGAGGCCAGGGCTTTTATGGGCCTCAGAGGGGGAGAAGTGCATGCTGATTGATCCATGGGCAACCACGGGTGGGCCCAGAAAAGGCACCACTCTGGTCCACAGGACTGGCAGCCCAGCCCCCAGCCTTCAGGCCCTCCTTTGCATCCAGCTACCCTCAGTCCTCCCTCAGCTTCCCCCATACCCTGTGCTCGTCAGCATGCAAAGTCCAGAGAAGACTGAGGCAGCAGGGGACTGGTATGTCAGCACTGCCCTGAGTGTGCACACACCCAGCCAGGCTTTAACGGTGCCCAGGCTCGGCCCCTAGTCTGCTCTAAGATCAGAGTGGGCACCGGGAGCAGGGAGAGGCCAAGCAGTGGGACCAGACACGCCAAGCCTTCAGGGTCAAGGGGGGTCTTCCTGGGACCCCAAGGGTGCAGACTGCAGAGACGCCTGGGTCCTGTGCCTGGGAAAGTGAGGCTCCCACCCACTCCATGGAGTTTGCAGGCAGCCTCAGCTATGCCTTCCCACTGCAGCCAGCGTGATGACAACAGCCACTCCAGACGGCCCACTGCTGCCATCATTTACATCCTCTTTTTGGCCTCTTCAAGAATATGGTCATCTCGTTTCCTCCCAAACAAATGAATCATAGAATAAAAACCCAGTATGCTTTCTATTTAGGAGGTGAGGTAGCACTGAAGGTAGTGCCTAGCTCTACCTGTACTGACCTTGAAAGCTAGCAATGAAGCCCTTCTCCTGGCCAAGGCCACAGCTATTATTTAAAAGCCATGTGGCTCCCATACTCGCAGCTGAGTACAGGAGGAGGCTGAGGTGGGAGGATCACTTAAGCCAAGGAATTCGAGGCCAGCCTGGACAACATAAGAAGATCCAGTCTCTATAAAGAAAAAAAGCCATCTGGAATACATAAATACACATTTTTACAATGATGTTTTTAAAAAAGATACAAAAGCGCCACTATGTTTAGATCACTCATTTGTTCATTTTAAACTTAAGACTATGAAAATTAAATTACACTTACTGAAAAAAAGTTACTCTATATATACAATAAGGTATTCAACTTCTCTTATGAAATATTTTAAATAAATAGAAGTGTCCACTTAAAAACAAAATCATTGGGGCATTATATCTTTCAAAAATACTTTCTCCTATTAAGAAAGCAAATCCTTTCTCTTATGCTTTAGTAAATAAGAAAAGCACACTTTATGAGCTTCATTTCAACAGTAACTAAGTGACATTTGGCAACAGTAGGAGCACAAATCTGTTAACCATGGTACTTTTGTAATAAACAAATAGTATTAAATGAATTTATTATATTAAACAAGTGTTCTGGATAATTAACATTTGATTTCTATTTATTCCAGGGTCTTTAAAGTGGTGATGGCCACACTTGTTAGGTTAGGAATACTCTTTGAAGAGAGAAAGCCTCAAAATGCTTATTGTCAAGGATGTTTCACTGGAATTACAGAGCGCTTCAACAACAGTGAATGTGACTGTATCAACTTCAGACTCCCACCTTAAGTACAAAACAGTATCTGTCAGAACCATAAACTATCTGAAAAGAGAAAGGAGTTTTCGTGGGTAGGCTTTAAAGTCTCAAAAAATAATAATAATTTCCTTCTGTATCTCTCTGTTGCTTATTCAAGCTAACCTTCTTCCTGATCCTCTCCCACATCACCACTAATCTTTATTGAACAACCCTGCTGCCTCTAAAAAGGATATTCCAGGAGCATGCTAAACTTGTGACTGCAAAGAACAACTGCCCAGACAGAGTTCAAAAAGTTTACACGGATCTACACCCTCCACAGGAAATTAGCAATTCCCAATATTAAATTGCTTGCTTGTTATTGTATATTGTCAGTTTGGTTTTGACTCTGTTTGCTTTTGTGAGGAATGCTGAAAATTCTCTTGTATAATTTAGGAAGGTAAGAAAGAAAATGCCAAACTTAATTTCCAACCTAACTCTCCATTTTGATATTGTGGCCAACCAAAATTGAGACTTAGCATCCCCACACACTGACTACCACCCTATTATTCCTCTACCCTCTACTCTCCACCCAAGAAAAAAACAGGAACTACTAAAGGAACTAGAGTGGATGTCCTTTAAATCAATTAACATCAACTGTAGTATTATTCGAGGCAAGGAAAGTCCAAGTATAAGAATATCAAAGGTTGCTCCTTTTCAAAAAATAATGTCAAATTTTTGTTAATAGGAGCAGCCACATAAATCTCTCAAGCAACTCAAAGTCTCGACTCAAAAATAACCAAAAATGTTAGATGTAATATTTTATTCCAATACTTTAAGAGGATCCCAGCTATACCCGAGGGGATGGCTATTACTACTACTGCTACTACTACCACTGTTACACACACACACACACACACACCCTTTCCACAATTCTCTCCACTAGATTTACATTTGATCCTCCTCTCTGTAAATCCACAGGACCCTAGAGGAAAAAAAAAATATTCATATTCAGGATACACTTGAATATCTGCAACATTAGAAAGACCTAGGATTAAATTATATCTGTAGAGAAATATAAATTCTGGAAAAATGGAGAACGAGGGACAGAAAATTAGAGGAAAAGGAGTAAGAGAAGACAGTGAGTGTAAGTGGAGGAAGGAGTTCTGTGGCCACTCTAGGGAGGCCAACGTAGTGAAACTCAGTGCTTGTGAAGGACTAGGAACAAAGTGGCTACCCAAAGAGTACAGCGCCTCATCTCCACATCCATATCTCACCCTCTCACCTTTGGGGAACAGCTTGGGCACAGTGACCTATGCTTTGTAGTAAGAAACTGTTTAGGTCTTCAATGGTGACATAGGTGTGCTCAGTCACGGACACTGGTCTCAGGCAGTGTCTGGAGCTTCACATTCCAGGCTTCTGCCTCTTTCATTGTGGATCATCTGGCAGCAAGAAGTGTCTTCCTCCAGACTATAAGAAATTGAGGACAGGGGTTTTGTTGGTTTTGTTTATTGCTCTATAACATGGCCTGGAACATATACACGCTCAATAAACATTTGTTGGATACCAGTTGAATACAGGCCAGCAAGGGGATCACAGCACCTCAGTGGCAGATTCACGATTAGAAACTCTTAATGTCCAGACTTATTATGATTTTCTCCAGATATCACGTAGTTTAGAAACAATTTGGTTTGAAAAAATGTTCAAACTAATCTTAAGGAGTTAGGAGCTTTAACTCATAATTAAGCAAATATTTAATCCCTTTTAACTTTAAATACCAGAGAAAGAGCAAGTAACGTGGTAACACATACACAGAGAGGGACAAAAACTTTACTTTTATTTATTTATTTTTACTTTATCTTTTCTTTTTTTCTTGAGACAGGTTCTCACTCTGTCACCCAGGGGGAAGTGCAGTGGTATGGTCTCAGCCCACTGCAATCTCAAACTCCTGGGCCCAAGCAATTATCCCGCTTCAGCCTCCCGAGTAGCCAGGACTACAGGTGCGTACCACCAGGCCCAGCTACTTTTTAAATTTTGTTTCATAGAAATGGGGCCTTGCTATGTTGCCCAGGCTAGCCTCAAAGTCCTGGCCTCAAGCAGTCCTCCCACCTCGGCCTCCAAAAATGTTGGGATTACAGGCGTGAGCCACTGCACCCCAGCCTACTTGTATATTTAAAGAGAAGAGATTAAATTTTTTAAGTTTAATTTATACAAATCATAATTTAATGATTCCAAGCTCAGACTAATTATAAATTAAGTAAAATCTAGGAACAGAAGATTTGTGGTGCTTTGTTATTTTATAGAATATTTATGTTAAGCCAAATTTCCCCAAGGCATTTTCTTGGGCCCTGGAGAAAGACACTTAAGTTTACATAGTAAAGGGCTAACTACTTTACAAATAAAGTTCACGTGTAATGATTTCTGACTAGCTAATATTTTTACAAGGTTTGAAAATCAAAGCAACATTTTTTAAAAGTATACCTTGAGAAATCTTAGTTCCACCCCATTCCTGTCCACCTTGTCCCCACACCCATTACGGTAGCCATTTTTATTTGTTTCTTGATTATCATTCCAATGTGTCTTTATACAAATATAAATAATTACAGATTTTTGTTTTTACTTTTTCATCTTTCTTAGTTTAATATATACACAATGCTGTTCCTTGCTTTCTCCGTTAACAGTAATACAGCCTGGAGATCTCACACCAGCATTTTATGAATGTCCTCATTCTTTTCATAACTGCATAGCCCTCCACTGTGTGGTGAATCAGGTCACTATTGGTGGGCACTGGTAATGTTTCCTGTTTTTTTCTATTGGAGATGATGCCATAATGAGTTTATACATACACTATTTTGTAATTGAGTAGATAGATCTGTAAAATAGATTCCCAGAAGTGAGATTTCTGGAGCAAGGAGTAAAGTGCAGCTATAATTTTTGGTGATTATTACCAGACATTCCTCCACAGGAGTGGTATGCTCCATTTGCCACCAGCAGCAATATATGATTCACTGGCACAGTGTGTTGTCAAACCTTTCAGTTTCCACCAATGTGGCCATGAGAAATGTTATCTCATTTTTATTTCTCCTACTATGAGTGGGGCTGAGCATCTTTTCACATGCTTATGGACATTTCCATTTCTTTTTCTGTATCTATCCACTCCTGCCTTTCAACCATTTTTCTGTGCAGTGGCTGGTCTTTTTCTTCACAGTATTAGGAGCTTTTTATATAGTAGGAAAGTTACATATTTGTCTGTGATGTCAGTGGCAAATATTTTTTCCTTGTCTATCAACTGACTTCTGGCTTTGCCTATTGGAGTTTTCAAGTTTTTTATTTCCATTCAGAAAATATGACTACATTGTCCTTTCTAAGCATTACACAACCCTAGAAGGTAGCACAATTATTTCCATTATTCAGAAGACACCAAGCTATAGGAATATTAAGTAAACTGTCCAAAAACATACAAATCTGACCACAGATCTAACACTGAAGATGATATAAAATTAATTATGCCATACTGCCCTCTCACCATAAAGATAAAAAATGAGAAAAGTAATAATATTAATATTTCACACTTTACATTGGTTGTATTTTTATCCTCACGCCAACTCTATAAAGAGATTATTTATTTCATTTACATTACAGATAACAATTTGAGACTACTAAAAGGGAAATAAACTTCCCCAGTTTGCATTGACTTTTTTCTCATCTTCATGGATTTATCTACCTTCGATCTTTGAGGCTGCTGACTTTTGGATGGGGTTTAACATTAAGTGTTCCACTGAGGACTGAATTTTGCTTACATTATGGACCCTGAAACTCTTATAAATGGCTATATGGCCCTCACTAAGTTGTATAGAAGGAAGCTCAGATTTGAATCTGTGACCCCACACATGGAATTTGTGTGCTCACTACTCCAGATTCTTACTACTACTCTACCCTTCTTTTCCTTGTATTTCTTTATTTTCTCTTGTTGAATTGTGTATATTGTATGGTCACCTAAATTAATTTTAATAAGAGTGTAAATACATATTCAAACTAAGTATTTTATCTTCATTTTTAAATCCTTTAAATATTCCAAAAATATTACGATTGAAACTCTACTAAATCCAAATTATGACTCAAATTAAATGGGTTAATAAAATAAAGTTTATTGCATCTGCACCCAAATTTCACTGAATTCTTCTTACTCTGCACTGACCCATAAAACTTCACCAGAGAAGAGCAAAAATGGCAAATGAATCCTGCTCCATCAACTGAGGTATGCAGATTATCTCACTGGGACTGACTAGGCAGTTGGTGAGACCCACACAGAGCAAGGAAAAGCAGGGTGGAGTGATGACCCAGGAGCCACATGGGATAAGGAGAACTCCCACACCCAGCCAAGGGAGGTGGTGAGTGACTGTGCTACCCCACCCAGGAAACAATGTTTTTTCACGGATCTGTGCATCCTACGGACCAGGAAATCCCCTCGTTAGCCCACCCCACCAGGGCCTTGGGTCTCAAGCACAGAGCTGTGCAACCTGCTTGGGCTGCAGCCAGCAGCAGCAGGCTGGACACTGTCTAAGGCTACTGAGTTCCCAGGCAGAGGGGTGGCCGCCATCACTGTGGCTCCAATCAGCCATTTTTCTCTGCTGGTATCAGGAAGACTGGGCAGTTTGGACTGAGAGGAATTCCCCACAGTGCAGCACAGTGGCTATGGCAGATCATGGTCAGACTGCTTCACTAGGTGGGACCCGGATCCATCCCTCCTCACCAGGAGGGTCCTCCCTGCAGGAATTGCAGCAACTCCAGCCACAGGTTTATGGAAAGAACTCTGATATCCTGGAAAGGAGCCCCAACACGAGAACTTCACAATGCAACCATTGTGTCAATAGCTGAATAGACCAAGTGGAGCAAAGGATCTCAGAGCTTGAAGACTATCTTGCTGAAACAAGACAGGCAGACAAAATTAGAGAAAAAAGAATGAAGAGGAATGAACATAACCTCCGAGAACTATGGGATTATGTAAAAAGATCAAACCTATGACTGATTGGGGTACCTGAAAAAGATGAGGAGAATGGAAACAAATTGGAAAACGTACTTCATGATATCATCCAGGAGAAGTTCCTCAACCTAGCAAGACAGGCCAACATTCAAATTGAAGAAATCCAGAGAACCCCAGCAAGATACTCCATAAGAAGATCAACCCCAAGACACACAACCTTCAGATTCTCCAAGGTCAAAATGAAGGAAAAAATGTTAAGGGGAGCCACAGAGAAAGGCCAAGTCACCTACAAAGGGAGGCCCATGAGGCTAACACCGGGCCACTCAGTAGAAACCCTACAAACCAGAAGAGATTGGGGGCTGCCAATATTTGACATTCTTAAAGAAAATAATTTCCAACCTGGAATTTCATATTTGGCAAAATTAAGCTTCATAAGCAAAGGAAAAATAAAATCCTTTTCAGACAGGCAAATGCTGAGGGAATTCATCACCATCAGGCCTGCTTTACAAAAGCTCCTGAAAGAAGCACTAAATATGATAAAGAAAAAACATTACCAGCCACTACAAAAATACACTGAAGTACACAGAACAATGACACTATGAAGCAGCTACATTAACAAGTCTGCAAAATAGCCAGCCAGCATTATGACAGGATCAAATTCACACATAACAATATTAACCTTAAATGTAAATGGGATAAATGCCCCAATTAAAAGACACAGAATGGCAAGCTGTATAAAAACACAAGACCCATCAGTGTGCTACATTCAAGAGACCCATCTCATGTGCAAAGACAAGCATAGGCTCAAAATAAATGAATGGACGAAAATTTACGAAGCAAATGGAAAGCAGAAAAAAACAGAAGTTGCAATCCTAGTTTCTGACAAAACAAACTTTAAATCAACAAACTTTAAATCAAAATTTGTTTCTGACAAAAAAATTTTACAATATACACAATTCAACAAGAGAAAATAAAGAAATACAAGGAAAAGAAGGGTAGAGTAGTAGTAAGAATCTGGAGTAGTAAGCACACAAATTCCATGTGTGGGGTCACAGATTCAAATCTGAGCTTCCTTCTATACAACTTAGTGAGGGCCATATAGCCATTTATAAGAGTTTCAGGGTCCATAATGTAAGCAAAATTCAGTCCTCAGTGGAACACTTAATGTTAAGCACCATCCAAAAGTCAGCAGCCTCAAAGATCGAAGGTAGATAAATCCATGAAGATGAGAAGGGTAGAAGGGTATTACATAATGGTAAAGGGTTCAATTCAACAAGAGGAGCTAACTATCCTAAATATACATGCACCCAATACAGGATCACCCAGTTTCATAAAACAAGTTTTCAGAGACCTACAAAGAGACTTAGACTCCCACACAGTAATAGTGGGAGGCTTTAACACTCCACTGTCAATATTAGATCATCTAAACAAAAAATTAACAAAGATATTCAGGACTTGAACTCAGCTCTGGATCAAGTGATCCTGATAAATGTCTACAGAACTCTCCATCCAAAAACAACAGAATATACATTCTTCTTGGCACCACATGGCACTGACTCTAAAATTGATCACATAATTGGAAGTGAAACACTCCTCAGCAAATATAAAATTACTGAAATCATAACAAACAGTCTCTCAGATGACAGCGCATCAAACTCAAGATTAAGAACTCAAGATTAAGAAACTCACTCAAAACCACACAACTACATGGAAATTGAACAACCTGCACCTCAATGACTCCTGGGTAAATAATGAAATTAAGGCAGAAATCAAGAAGTTCTTTGAAACCAATGAGAACAAAAAGACAACATACCAGCATCTCTGGGATGCAGCAAAAGCAGTGTTAAGAGGGAAATTTATAGTACTAAGTGCCCACATCAAAAAGCTAGAAAGATCTCAAATCAACATCCTAACATTACAACTAAGACAACAGGAGAACTGGCTGGATGTGGCGGTTCATGCCTGTAATCCCAGCACTTTGGGAGGCCCAGGTGGGCAGATCACCTGAGGTCAGGAGTTCAAGACCAGCCTGGCCAACATGGTGAAACCCCGTCTCTATTAAAAATACAAAAATTAGCCAGGCATGGTAGTATGCACCTGTAATCCCAGCTACTCAGTCAGCTGAGGCAGGAGAGTTGCTGAACCTGGGAGGCGAAGGCTGCAGTGAGCTGCAGTCACACCACTGCACTCCAGCCTGGGTAACAGGGCAAGACTCTGCATTAAAAAAAAAAAAAAAAAAAAAAAAGAACCAGAGAATCAACAGCAAACAAACGCCAAAGCTAGCAGAAGGAAAGAAATAACCAAGATCAGAGTGGAACTGAAGGAGATAGAGACCAAAAAAAAAAAAAACTTCAAAAAATTAACAAATCCAGGAGCTGTTTTTTTGAAAAAAATAATAAAATACATGGAGCACTAGCTAGAATAATAAAGAAGAAAAGAAAGAATAACCTAATAGACACAGTAAAAAATGATAAAGGGGATATCAACACTGACCCCACAATAAATAGAAACAACCATCAGAGCATACTATAAACACCTCTATGCAAATAAACTAGAAAATCTAGAAGAAATGGATAAATTCCTAGACACATACACCCTCCCAAGACTGAACCAGGAAAAAGTTGAATCCCTGAATAGACCAAAAATGAGTTCTGATATTGAGGCAATAATAAATAGCCTACTAATCAAAAAAGCTTAGGACCAGACAGACTTACAGCTGAATTCCACCAGAAGTAAAAGAGGAGGTGGTACCATTTGAAACTATTCCAAACAATTAAAAAGGAGGGACTTCTCCCTAACTCATTTTATGAGGCCAGCATCATCCTAATATCAAAACCTGGCAGAGATATAACACAAAAAGAAAATTTCAGGCCAATATCCCTGATGAACATTGATGTGAAAATTCTCAATAAAATACTGGCAAATCCAGCAGCACATCAAAAAGCTTATCCATTATGATCAAGTTGGTTTCATCCCTGGGATGCAAGATTGGTTCAATATACACAAATAATAAATGTGATTCATTAGATAAACAAAACTAAAGACAAAAACCACATGATTATCTCAATAGACAGAAAAGGCCTTAGATAAAATTCAACAACCCTTCATGATAAAAACTATCAACAAACTAGGTATTAAAGGAACATACTTCAAAATAATAAGAGCCATTTATTACAAACCCACAGCCAATATCATACTGAAGGGGCAAAATCTGGAAGCATTCCCCTTGAAAACAGTACAAGACAAGGATGTCCTCTCTCAACACTACTATTCAACATAACAATGGAAGTTCTAGCCAGGGCAATCAGGCAAGAGAAAGAAATAAAGGGTATTCAAACAGAAAGAGAGTATGCAGCCAACAGACACATGAAAAAATGCTCATCATCACTGGCCATCAGAGAAATGCAAATCAAAACTACAATGAGATACCATCTCACACCAGTTAGAATGGTGATCATTAAAAAGTCAGGAAAAAACAGGTGCTGGAGAGGATGTGGAGAAATAGGAACACTTTTACACTGTTGTGGGACTGTAAACTAGTTCAACCATTGTGGAAGTAGTGTGGCGATTCCTCAGGGATCTAGAACTAGAAATACCATTTGACCCAGCCATCCCATTACTGGGTATATACCCAAAGGATTATAAATCATGCTGCTATAAAGACACATGCACACGTATGTTTATTGCGGCACTATTCACAATAGCAAAGACTTGGAATCAACCCAAATGTCCAACAATGATAGACTGGATTAAGAAAATATGGCACATATACACCATGGAATCCTACGCAGCCATAAAAAATGATGAGTTCATGTCCTTTGTAGGGACATGGATGAAGCTGGAAACCATCATTCTCAGCAAACTATCGCAAGGACAAAAAAACCAAACACTGCATGTTCTCACTCACAGGTAGGAATTGAACAATGAGAACACTTGGACACAGGAAGGGGAACATCACACACCGGGGCCTGTTGTGTGGTGGGGGGAGAGGGGAGGGATAGCATTAGGAGATATACCTAATGTAAATGATGAGTTAATCTGTGCAGCACACCAACATGGCACATGTATACATATGTAACAAAACTGCACTTTGTGCACATGTACCCTAGAACTTAAAGTATAATAGAAATATATATATATATAAAACAATTCATGAACTAGAAAAAAAATAGGAAGAGTGGAAATCAAATTGCCTTTGTTTGTAGATGACATAATCCTATACCTAGAGGACCCCACTGTCTCAGCCCAAAAGTTTCTTAAGCTGATAAGCAAATTCAGCAAAGTCTCAGGATACAAAATCAATGTGCAAAAGTCACAAGCATTCCTATACATCAACAACAGACAAAGAGAATAAAATACTTAGGGATACAGCTAACAAAGGAAGTGAAGGACCTTTTCAAGGAGAACTACAAACCACTGCTCAAGGAAATCAGAGAGGACACAAACAAATGGAAAAACATTCCATGCTTATGGATAGGAAGAATCAACATCATGAAAATGGCCATACTGCCCAAAGTAATTTATAGATTCAATACCATTCTCACTAAACTACCATTGACATTCTTCATAGAATTAGAAAAAACTACTTTGAAATGAATATGAAACCAAAAATGAGCCCATATAGCCAAGACAATCCTAAGCAAAAAGAACAAAGCTGGAGGCATCATGCTATTGGACTTCAAACTATACTACAAGGCTACAGTAACCAAAACAGCATAGTACTGGTACAAACACAGGCACACAGACAAATGAAACAGAATAGAGAATGCAGAAATAAGACTGCAAGTCTACAACGATCTGATCTTTGACAAACTTGACCATAAAAAGCAATGAGAAAAGGACTCCCTATTTAATAAATGGTGCTGGGATAACAAACTGGCCATATGCAGAAAATTGAAACTAGACCCCTTCCTTACACCTTATACAAAAATTAACTCAACATGGATTAAAGACTTAAATGTAAAACCCCAAGCTATAAAAACTCTAGAAGAAAATCTAGGCAATACCATTCAGGACACAGGCATGAGCAAAGATTTCTTGACGAAAATGGAAAAAGCAATTGCAATAAAAGCAAAAATTGACAAATGGGATCTAATTAAAATAAGGAGCTTCTGCAAAGCAAAAGAAACTATCATCAGAGTGAAGAGACAACCTACAGAATGGGAGAAAACTTTTACAATCTATCCATCTGACAAAGCTCTAATATCCAGAATCTACATGGAACTTAAAATACAAGAAAAAAAAAACAACCCAATTAAAAAGTGGACAAAGGACATAAACAGACACTTCTCAACAGAATACATTTATGCAGCCAGAAAACATATGAAAAAAATTTCAACATCACTGATCATCAGAGAAATGCAAATCAAACCCACAGTGAGATACTATCTCACAACAGTAAGAATGTCGATTATTAAGAAGTCAAGAAACAACAGATGCTGTTGAGGCTGCAGAGAAACAAAGTGGATCTTTTGCTGCACTTGGTCTATTCAGCTATTGATACTAGTGGTTTTATACTGTTGGTGAGAATATAAATTAGTTCAACCATTGTGGAAGACAGTGTGGCAATTCCTCAAAGACCTAGAACCAGAAATACCATCTGACCAAGCAATCCCATTACTGGGTATATACCCAAAGGAATATAAATCATTCTGTTATAAAGATACACACACGTATATGTTTATTGCAGCACTACTCACAATAGCAAAGTCATGGAATCAATCCAAATTTCCATCAATGATACACTGGATAAAGAAAATGTGGTACATATACACCATGGAATATTATGCAGCCATAAAAAGGAATGGATCATGTCCTTTGCAGGGACATGGATGGAGCTGGAAGCCATCATTCTCAGCAAACTAATGGAGGAACAGAAAACCAAACACTTCTCACTTGTAAGTGGAGGCTGAACAATGAGAACACATGGACACAGGGAGGAGATCAACACATACTGGGGCCTATGGGAGGTGGGGTGTGCGGGGAGGGAAAGCATTAGGAAAAATAGCTAATGCATGCTGGGCTTAATACCTAGGTGATGGGTTGATAGATGCAGCAAACCACCATGGCACACGTTTTCCTATGTAACAAACCTGCACATCCTGCATATGTACCCCAGAACTTAAAATAAAATGAGAAAAAATTGAAAATGAAAATTTGTATCTCTGTTAAGGGAAGGGTCAAGGCATATCAGAATTATTTTTAGCTTATGGCAATTGTCTGACATGCTAATTGCTACCTGGTTAAATCAAACTTCTTAAAGATGATTTTTTTTTTACTAATAAAAAAATCATTTTATTTATGTTTTATTTGAAGTTAAACAGACATGGAGCTTTTAAATTAAAGTTGTTTATTTGAAGTCTGTTTATTTGAAGCTAAACAGACATGGAGCTTTTAAATTAAAGTTGAAGTTGATACTCAAAACATAATCTTCCTAGAAATTTTTGGGCCCCTATTGCTGCAATCAAATTACCCAAAGAGGCTGGGCGTGGTGGCTCATGCCTGTAATCCCAGCACTTTGGGAGGCTGAGGCTGGCAGATCACTTGAGGCCAGGAATTCAAGACCAGGCTGGCCAACATGGCAAAACCCTATCTCTACTAAAAATACAAAAAATTAGCCAGGCATGTTGGTGCACACCTATAATCTCAGCTACTCAGGAGGCTGAAGCATGAGAATCATTCAAACCCAGGAAGCAGAGGATGCAGTGAGCCTAGATCGTACCACTGCACTCTAGCCTGAGCAACATGGTTAAGACACTGTCTCAAACAAGTAAAAAAATAAAATCACCCAAAGAGCTAACTAAAATTACCTGAAACATTATTTTAAAATATTATTTTTTACAGAACAGAAAACTTATTATTATATAAAAAAAATCCAAATGTACTCTAAATCATATCACTGGTATCCTTTTTCTATTCACCTTCAGTGAATTCCTTATACAGAACTATCTAGTATAATGGAGAGAGTTTCCCTCTGTTCTCAAACTTCTCTCTATATCACTCCACTCATGGAAGGCTGCCAGTATATTCCACTTAGGAAAAGTGTATTATACAAAATGAAAACTTAGCTCATTGTGATTTTAAAAAACCAAAACTAAGATAACACAAATGCATATATCTATCTTAAGAATAAAAGCAAAAAGTTTTCTTCCTCTTGTTTTGTCTATTTGTTCATTTGTTTTTATTCTGTTTCTGATCTTGTTTTCGGTGGGACTGTGAGCAACTCAGTATTTACTCTCCCTAAGCCTTGGATCACTGTATACTTAGACAAGCTGAGTTGAGTTACCTTGAGAAAAATTGGACTTTAGACTTTTGGATTATTTTTAACCTCAGAAAACGACAGTGTTCCTGGAGTCTAAATTTACTATACCTGGAGGAGCTAATTTTCATCTGTGCTTTGAACTTATACAGAAGCCACACCCACCTTTATCTATCTGCCTTATAGGTTAATTTGCCACAGGATGTTCTGTCTGGTCCTCTCTGGTATTATTTAGCTGATAAAAACTGCTTGGAAATGTTGCGACTACCCACATTTTACCTTTATTATATTGAATCCAAATTGATTCAGATCATCCCAGCTCTCTCTTTCTCTTTTTGCCTCTGAAATTTGATTTTGCTGTTGCCAAGAATGAACTGTTCCTTAGGGAAACTGGTAAAAATTCTGATTGTATGTCACCTTGAACATAAGTGTCAGGTAATTTTAGTTTTTCCTCAATTTAAAATCACTGTTTTATCTTCTTATGTATCTTTGAAGGGAGGTAGGGAGAAGAATTGATCCTTATAAAGTCATTTACCACTCACACTTTCAACTATAGCATATCTACTAACAAGGAATTAAGCTATCCCCAATCAGCAAGAATTAGTATTTAATAGAGCTATCAAAAACAAAAAGTATATGCCACACTGATAATAAATAAATCAGTATACCTAAGAGTTAAATTTTCATTTCAAAAGAAAAACACCAGTCCTGATTTTCTGGGTTGGGATTAAAATCTTAGATCTTTCTGGTTTTCATCTAATTTCTGGGGCCCTTGTGAACCATTACTTTATTACCTGCAGCCAAAAAATCTCCCCTAAGGCTGTTCTCCAGGTACGGTTTCTTGCAAAGGGCACAAAGAACAAATTTCAAGTTACTATAATAAGCATAAGAAAAAATGCCCTGCTAAAAAAAAAAAAAAAAAAAAAAGAAAAAGAAATCTTAAATTTCAAACTGGTAAGCTAGATGCCTTAACACATTCTTCCCATTGCCTAAGTCACTTCATCAACCACTCTTCTCCCTCTCCCTCTTTCTTCTCCTTCTCCTTCTTCTTCTTCTTCTTTTCGTCCACAAGGTCTTGCTCTGTCACTCAGGCTGAAGTACAGTGGTGCAATCTCGGCTCACTGCAACCTCTGCCTCCTGGGTCAAGCAATCCTCCCACGTCACCCTCCCAAGTAGCTGGGATTACAAGCATGTGCCACCACCACAACCGGCTAATTTTCATGCTTTTTTTTGTTTGTTTTCATTTTTGTTTTTTGGTAGAGATGAGGTTAAGCCATGTTGTGCAGGCTATCTACTATTTTCTTCTTATGCCCCAAATTTGGAGACATAAAGTGAACAGTCAAAGGGGAAACAGTTAAAGTTTCAAATTTACATTTTTAAAAAGTATTGAATAAAACTCTGGGCCGGGCGCGGTGGCTCACGCCTGTAATCCCAGCATTTTGGGAGGCTGAGGCTGGTGGATCACGAGGTCAGGAGATCGAGACCATCCTGGCTAATACAGTGAAACCCCGTCTCTACTACAAATACAAAAAATTAGCTGGGCGCGGTGGCGGGCGCCTGTAGTCCCAGCTACTCGGGAGGCTGAGGCAGGAGAATGGCATGAACCTGGGAGGCGGAGCTTGCAGTGAGTCGAGATCGCGCCACTGCACTCCAGCCTGGGCAACAGACCGAGACTCCGTCTCAAACAAACAAAAAAAAAGGGACATGGATGAAGCTGGAAACCATCATTCTCAGCAAACTATCGCAAGGACAAACCATCATTCTCAGCAAACTATCGCAAGGACAAAAAACCAAACACCGCATGTTCTCACTCATAGGTGGGAATTGAACAATGAGAACACATGGACACAGGAAGGGGAACATCACACACCAGGGCCTGTTGTGGGGTGGGGGGAGAGGGGAGGGATAGCATTAGGAGATATGCCTAATGTTAAATGACGAGTTAATGGGTGCAGCACATCAACATGGCACATGTATACATATGTAACAAACCTGCACGGTGTGCACATGTACCCTAAAACTTAAAGTATAATAAAAAAATTTTAAAAAAAGAAATTTGCAATTAAAAAAAAAAAAAAACCTCTGTGAGAAACATTTAACCAGAGCAGAAATGCAAAGAAATCAGCTATGGTATATAGTTATTAAGGAGAATGAGTTGTATCCAGGTAGACCAACCTATAAAAACAGCCATGAGCTATTAATTTGAAGACAAAACAAAGATATTGTGCAACAATATATACACCATGACCCGATTTTTGTAAAATGAATAAACAAGTAAACAAAACTAAACACAATAGAAGTTTGTAAATCTCTATGAGCCCAGAGGAAAATACACAGGTACATCCAGCCAAAGGTTAGCATTAGCTACCTCAGGAAAGCATAATTAGAAAGAAGAAAGTAGAGATTAAAGTTCTCTGTCATATTTCTGTATTGCTTTGACTTTTGAAAATAAATTTTATTATCTTATAATTAAGCAAAACAAAAACGTAAGGGATAAAATGTAAACTAAGGAAGACACATACATCATACATGAGAAATAATTTTTGATTCAATTCAGTAAGTATTTGTTCAGTGTATGGACTGATTAGATATATATTAGATATGGTGCACTTTGCCAAAGTAATAGAAAACCTGATTCAAACTGGCTTAAACAAGGACATTTATTGGCACACATAACCAGAAGTCAGCCGTGATGTGGGTTTCAGGAGTGACACCTGTGCATTGATTTCATCCTCAGTCCAAAGGAAAAAGAGGCAGAGTTCTGAGATATAGTCTCCATGTCCAGAATATGAGTGACCTCCTTTTTGGAAGGTAGCCCAGGAGATGAAGGAAATGCTTTCAGGAAATCTTTCCTTGTGCTTCATCAGCTCAAATTGTATCATGCACCTAATCATGATAAACTCATTGGCAAAAAAAAAAAGAAAATTTAGATCAATCAACTACTGTTAGAGTGGGGTGTGAGGATGGCCTCTTCTGAGGACCACAGGGATGAATATCTGAACAAATTTCCATTAACAAAGAGAAAGAAGAAATTGTGGCTATGGTCAAACAACAGTGAACAATGGTGGCATGTCTTTACCCTAACAGTGTTTACACTGTTGCAGAAGGCAAGCAATAAAAAGAAATTCTAATTGTGAAGAGTGTTATGAAAAGGCAAGTATATACAGTGCTATGCTTTCAGAACAGATAGCGAGGATTTACCATTGACAAGTGGGGTTGCGGAAGCTTACAGAAGACCATCCTGAGGAATGTTTAAGACCTGAGGAAGAGAGAGAAACTCTACTAAATCCAAATTTATGATTTAAATTAAATAAATAAAATAAAGTTTACTTCATTTGTACCAGAATTTCACTGAATTCTTCTCACTCTGCACTGACCCATAAAACTTCACTAGAAACTTGTGATTATTTGTATCTCTGTTAAGGGAAGGGTCAAGGCACATCAGAATTCTTTTCAGCTCATGGCAATTGTCTGACATGCTAGTTGCTACCTGGTTAAGTCAAACTGCTTAAAGATGAATTTTTTACTAATAACGTATGAAGACAGGAAGGCCAGTGGGTGTGATATGTTTAAAGAACTGAAAGCAATGCCGATGGCCAGAGCCTAGAGAAACCAATGCTAAGGTTACATCTGCTGTATGTTAGGAAAACTCCCATAAATTATCAAGGAAAAGACAAATGCCCCGACAGAAAAATGGGAAAAGTAGTTCACAAGAAATAGAAAAAGGAAATAAACATGTAATATTGCTTGGTCTACTAACAATAAAAGAAAAGCATTTTGAAATACGTTCCATTTTTCATTTACCAAAATAAAAATTAAAAACTAATTCTGGAGCTCAGTCTTCAATTAGGACATAGGCATTTGCTACAATGAATATAAATTCATACAACTTTTCTAAACAGCAATTTGACAATAAGTCCAAAATTTCAAAAATGACTGACTGCCTTCTGAACCTCACAATTCAACCCCTTGGAATTTATCTCAAACAAACAAACGAAACAACAAAACCCACAAATGTGAGTAAATATGTTCAGGGATGTTCATCACAGCATTTTATGTAATATTGTAAAGCAATACTGGATGGAATTGTTACTGAGTGAAAAGCAAATTAAAATAGTATTAGAATCTGACTTCTCAGCCAAGCACAGTGGCTTACACCTGTAATCTCAGCACTTTGGGAGGCTGAGGCAGGAGAATCACTTGAGGCCAGGAGTTTGAGACCAGTATGGACAACATAGCAAGAACCTGTTTCTACAAAAAAATAAAATATATATAGCTGGGCATGGGGGTGTGCGGCTGTAGTCATAGCTACTTACTTGGGAAGCTGAGGTGGGAAGATGGCTTAAGCCCAGAGTTTGAGGCTACAGTGAGCTATGATTGCACCATTTCACTCCAGCCTGGGCAACAGAGTGAGACCCTGTCTCTTTAATAATAATAAGAAGAAAGAATTTGATTTCTGTTTTATATAGCAATGATACACATTCACAAAAAAAGAGAAATATTTATAGGTTATTCATAGGTTAGTTGAGGATATTTATAGGTTAGTTGTCAGTGGATTTTTTTTTAATATTTTGTGCTTTGCAACATCTTTCAGATTTTCTATATAATATAAATGTTTTCATTTTATAATAAGAACGGAGACGTTTTTAAAAAGAAAAGCCAAATCAGCCCTTTTTGGAGGGACTTATCTCAGTAATCAAGGCAAAACTATAATTTTCCTTTATTTTTCACATCACTATATCAATTCCCAGCTTCTCAATACAGAGAGGGCTTAGACACAGTGAACTCAAATTATCATGGTGAAAAAAGGAAATAAGACCTGTCATATAATAATAGGGTAAGATATCCACATCTTGTCATTTTTCCTTTAAAGCAAATATTTATTTTATTATCACATTATTGGAAAATGAGAAAGAATTGGGAGGAAAATTTATTAGTTCCATTGCAGCAACTGCTGACGAGATGAACAAATAAGCTATCATATGGGATACAAGTCCATCCTCATTATTTATCATTCTAACTACCATTAACAGAATGAGATCTGTCTGCCAGGTGCCTTACAAACTTCATTTTATTTCCAAATCTCGGAAGAACAATGAAGGATATGTTGTCTTTTCTTTCTTTCACAGATGAGAAAACAAAGGCTCAGAGTAAACAACTGGCCAAGTCAAAACTTGACCCCACATCTGCTGCAATTCAAAGCTTATGTTCCTTCCTCCACACTAATCTACTTCCCCATAGCACACTTTATAACAGTAACTCACATTATTAACATTGTCCAATAGTTGTATTTCCATATTTCAGCAATTGATTCAATATTTATTGAGGGACTACATATCCCAGTGACTATATAAGGAGTAGGATATCAGAAAATGTTGCTTGCCTTCATGGTGCACCCAGAGGCAAGGTTGTCTGCTGAAGCTGAACGAGAGTTAGGAAGAACTGATGTGGGTTAAAAATAATCAGTTTTGGAGCCTATAAAAAGAGCTGACCAGGGCAGTGTAAAAAGTTTGTCAAGTAGTGCTGAGGTCCAAATAAAGTTGGAGAACATGAACTTGAAGTGGCACCAATTTTTAGGATTGTGCAATATTATTGTTTCCAACAGCATTCATTGGCTTTGTTTGGAAACCAAATGTAATGGAAATGTGTTGTTTTTTGATGACCCAATATTTATAGACCATCATTTTAGTCATTGTGTTACAGTAGGTAGTCAGGCATGAGCAGGAAAGGAGAGGGCTCCCCATCCACCAGGAATGTGAGGCAACCATTAGGTGATGGTCTGGCAGTTGTCACACTACCTCTCTAAAAATGATCATTGGTTGCAGCCAGTGCCAGGGAGATGGCTTGGTAGCTGTCACATTAAAATGATAGTTGGTCACAGGTGCTAGGGAGAAGCAATTTCTCAACAGAATAAAAACACTTGAAAATGGTAATCAGCAACTTCCAATAAAATCTCAGGAACTGGGTGAGTGAGCTTGAGCGTGAGTTTTAAGAGACAAAATGGCTAAGTATGACCTTCCAGGGGCATTCCACTAGAAAAGGGAAGAAAGCCTCAGGTGACTGTATGCACAACGCTAGTAAACACACTGCACGTGCTCACCTCCCAAGTGCAAGGAAGGCATTGCGCATGCAGGCAGCCCACCCTAAGGGAAGAATCATGGGAAAAGAGACGCAAGATGACAGGAGGGGGCCAGCATATAAAGTCCTAGGATCAAGGTTAAACGGGGCACATGACCTTCAAACTGCCCACTTGGGTCTCTTCCAAGTGTACTTTCCTTTCTTTCCTAATATAAAGCTTTTAAATAAACTTCCACTCCTGCTCTGAAACTTGCCTTCATCTCTTTTTCTGCTTTATGCCCCTTAGTTCAATTCTTTCTTCTGAGAAGGCAAGAATTGAGGTTGCTGCAGACCTGTACACACTCGCTGCTAGTAACCCAGATAACCGTATTGCACCCCAACCTCTCTCTAAGAAGTCACCCACTCCTCCTCTCGCTTTTAGCCCACACACTTCTGGGATCCAGGGTGGAGCATGTTGTCTGGCCCAAACAGATTGGTTAATTTTCTGTTACTTACAACGGAAAGAGCCCTTCCAGCATGTTAAAAACAAAAAGGACTGGAAGTGGGGTAGTATAAGAGATGAATTAAGAAGATGGAATTGGCAAAGTCGTGGTGAAAATAACAAGGACTTTCTGTCTTGGGCAGGGAAGCTGGCAATCCTTGCTAAGGAGTAGTGAAATATTTACTTGTATCTTGGGACTGAGACCATGTGCTTCCTGAAGCTTCCTCAATACAAGACTTGATAGGAAAACAAATGGGAGCTCAGAGTGTTATTTGTTATGGCCTTCAGTAAGGTCCTACCAAGAAAATATTGGATTTAGATTGAAATTGGCCCATCTGAAAAGAGAAAAGAAGGAAAATTACAAATATGCTAGTAGAGACCATTTCTGTTGAGGGTCCACAATCTGAGATGGCTAAAAATCCAATGAAATGAAACCTGGGGTAGAAAATGGCACACTATGCTGTCATTTAACAAACATGCCAGAAAGCTGGGAAGAAGTCATCCCCGGGAGGAAATTGGGATGTGTTCCCCCTCAACTATCTGCAGTTATGCACCCCAGGACTGACAAAATTCAACTCACCTAATTGCAAAGAAGAAGCTAGGATGGAGCCTAGGGGCAAGAGGAGAATTACTGGTGACTCCTACCGCAGCTGTCGCTTGATTTTATTTCTAGGTAGAAGCCATTCAGTTGAGGGGCAAGTATGTGAGCCAATGCCTGAGACAAAGGCAAGGCCAGCTGCTTAAGAGATTGAAATTCCCATGCCCAGTTTCACAAGTCAAGAACTATGTCTTGACATAATGTTTGACCTTTAGTTACTAGCCCTTGGAACTCAGGGAATAGAAAGGGAGGCTGTGGGTAGGAGCCCTCATTAATTGATAAAGAAGTTGCTTTGCTTGAGCTCTAAATCAACTCCCAGAACACTGAAATTTTACTAACCCAAAGCAGACTCCTTAGGGATAACTCTTGGAAGGCTCACTCTCTCCAATACCCATCTGAGGTGTAGCCATGGAAAGCAATGGACAAGAGAGAACCTTCCAGAAAGCAGAATAGGGATTATCCAACTATTTATTAAACACGCACAAACAAATATTTGGAATATAGTACTTTTGCAGTAAAAGAACCTGAGATATAGACAACTTAGGACATTTATTTTCAATGACAGTTTGTCCCATTGATGCAAATGGTCTTTTCTAACTAATCCTAGTTCCTGAATCCCAGGGAGCCTCAGAAGGAGAACTGAAGATTAAGGTCTGGGTGGTATACAGGAATCTGGAGGAAATCTTGGGCCAGGTCAAATATCTTCCCAGGAAACTTGCAGCCACAATTCCAGAGGCATAATCTGAATTATAGTCAAGAAAATACAACACATTTAGAGCCCAGCATCAGATCCTGGGAGTAAAATGAAATCATAAATGGAAGAATTAAGAAATGAGCTCAGAAGATGGGAAAATCTCATTTACGAGTATGTGAGGGCCCATGAGACACATAGGATTGTTTAAGGTGCACTTTTATATGGATGCCTATTTATCACAGTTGACCTCCAGTACTAGTTCCATGTGATCCTCCACCCAAACATTTCTGAGCCATAAGCCCTATCCTAGTGTGCACCCATCAGTGGTAATCAGTGGTGTTTACTCAGACTTAAACAAAGTAGCTGGACCTATGCACCAGGACCCGGAGGACAGGATTTTCTCCAACTACTATTCTATGGGACTGTGTCCAGCCTGCCTGGATTCTACAAGCAGTGTTCATTGCCTTATTGGAACAGTTACAAGAGGGAAGAAGACAAGAAGAAAATAATAAGCTAGTAAAAAGAAGAAGAAAACTAGCAGTTGCACTTACTAGAGCAGACTACAGCATTTACAAATCATCAGATAAAGGGCACCTTGAATAGACAGAGGGGAATATTTACAGAAGCAGCTGGTTTCCCTAGGATGTCATTGTAAATGTACCCACCGATTCTGCTATCATATGGCAGCAGCATTCTTCCTCCACTCACATAGTTTATGTCCAGCCCTCTGCCAATGAGAAGATATGGCTGGCTGGTCAGTTGACCTCCTATACACAGACAGCTGACTTTGTGGCCTAGAGTAATAAATCATAGACGTGTCTGGAAAGCCTCCCTGGTGTCAAACACTCTGGTTCTCATTGACCCTGAATAAAGCCTGTGCCAGCAAACAGAACTTCAAGATACAGCAACACATTAACTGATGCCCTGATAAAGGCGGCAGATGGGTGTGAAGGCACTTAGTGCCAGGCTGGGATGGCCTAACATGGCCTGAAATACTGTGAGAAATCCTCATGCTGATCTGGGGAAAGTTGGTTTGGTCATGAGTGTGGGATTGTTCATCTGTTTGTCTCTCTTCTCAGCCAGGATATCAAGACTGTCAGTCATTCTGCCTCATCCATAAATTTCACAGCCTGGGATACAGAGCTCATCAATGCCATAAGGAAGTTGAGGACTTAGACTGTGTCAGAGGAAATCTTTTTGGCATGGGTCTGAAGATGGAAGCTGGAGCTGTACACGGGCTAACTCTCATGGGCTACTATCAAACAGTGAGGGAAACCCACAGTCTCAGGTGAAGGTTTTCTCTCTTTGGGATGCTGTGGCCACAAAGTGGTCACTGTTGGCTCTACTGTGCAGAAATGACTTTGTTTTCACCAAAACTCATTTCCTTTTCATCTGGGGCACACAAGCTAGACCATATTTCTGCCTCCACTGCAGGAAGGTGCAACCACATAACCAACTTCTATCCACAGAAATATTTGTGAAAGTGATGGAGGCCATATTCAAGTTTGGCCATAAAAATCTTCCAGGTGTCCAGGCCTGGTATCTCTTTTATCACTGGCTTTATATTGGAATACAGCTGTATATTGGAATACTAGCTGTATATTGGAATACATTAGGATCTGCATGCTGAAGATACTAGAGCTTCCCATAGAAGGATTCCTGGGTGATTGCTTGGAGCCAACTGGGGACATTTGAATTGGATTGTTACATGAAAATGAAATCAACTATTCTTATGTTAAGCTATTGATTTGAGGGGTTTATTGACACAAAAGCTATCACTACTTTAATGAATACACAGATTGATTTTCATGTCACATTTGTGGGGTCAGGGTAATACACCCAGAATAATGTTTGCACCAATGATTACCCAGGCAGCCTAAGGAAGCATGGCTAGAGAGAGAATTTTAACTCCTTTAAGAAGGAAGCACAACTAACTGCTAGAAAAAAAGCCCCAAAAGTCAGTCAATGGAGGAAGTCATTCACAAAAGATTAAGTAGTAAGACTTTAGCCAGGATGCCAGTGGGCGAGTCAAGTTGCACAGCATGAAGACAATCAGAGCACATGGTATATAGAACAAGGGCAGAGGAGGTGTGAGGGCAACAAAGGTATATTTTCTTCAAATGACAATAGAGAGAGATCTGAAGGCATAAAAGAACTATGTAAAACCAGATAACTTCAGCCCCTACCTTTAAGCCAGCTCTGCACCCCATTAACTTCCTGAGGCCTTTACACACTGGCATCATTCTTGTAAAGTCCATTTCTTAAGGTTTATAAATTCTTAGGTCATTTCCCAAATTCTCTCATCTACCCTTGATGTGCACTTGTGTTGTAATAGATTTTATTATTATTTCTGTGTGGTAAGGCCAACACATCAGGAGATGAGTGCCATTGAAAAGACAGTTTATACTACTAACAGTTCGCAAGAAAGAGTACATGTTACGCCATAGGAGGCTATACTGGGATCTGTCACAGGGCAGAAAGAGAAGGGGAACTGTGGGCTGAAGCTTCTATTGTGCATTGCTCAGGGGTGAGGCAGGGTATGCAGACTTGGGATTGGTTAGTGTGACTAATCCAGCAAGCTCTGGAGCCTAAGGGCTGTTCCTAGTGTCTGACTGGGGGAATTAGGGTAGGTGGGGTATATGGCTGACTTAGGGAATAAAAGCTTGATAGGGAAGGTGTTTCTGGATATGGACTTAATCAGCTAAAGAAGGGCAACTGGCCAGCCTCTAACCAGGGCCCCCAAACTAGGTCAAGACAGTATTTGAAAAGCTATATTATAACCTGTCCCACAGTGACAGTATTTTCATGGTTCACTTCCTAGCCCTCACCATATCCCATGTTCCATATTTTAATTTTTGTCATAAGCATGATTGCTGAGTATACCCTTGTGGGTAATGGTTTCCTTTCCAGAAGAGGAAGGAACTGCTGTTTTTACTCTAGTGTTACTCCTAACCCTTCTAACGTCCATAGTACTATGTCGGCCACTTTGGGAATTATATTGAAAGCACCCAGATAAGCACCCAGGCTACAGAAAGGGTCAAATTTCCATGAGGCTCTGCTTCTGAGAATCAGGACTTCATGACCAGAGCCACGGGCCTCCAGATCTCCTGAGATCCCATGGTCAAGCTAGCATTCCTGAGAAAGGAGGTATTTGGCATTCAGTTAATAAAGACCTGAGTAGGAACTTCACCAGCCTGAGTCCCTCCTCACTACCTAAATCTTTTCTGCCTTTCTGATGGTCATCATGTCTGAAAATTTTCCCAGGAATAACCTAGCACAAAGAAACTACCATTGTTTGTATTATTTAGATCTCAAAAGTCTTCTGTTGCACTGGCCTCCAGAAGCTGCATGCCTGCCTGGCCTGCCTAGATTTCACCCTACACTCAGACCTTCTCTGAAGATATAAGGGCCAATAATGCTTAACAGGGATCTTGAATTCATTTCTTGTGTCTCTTGCTTGCAAATGAGAAACACATTACTTTAGGTCACAAAGTGGATATGCATGTTTTACCTATGTCAGAAATTGTGCGGTGGCACTGCTGCAAATTACCAGCGCTGAGTAGTAATGCTGAACCTGGTATATACTGAGATGAAGAAGTGATGAATAATGTAGACAAATCACCAAGCTTAGAGCCAGCCGACCATGGAGGAGTTGAGGACAAGCTGAGCAGGCCAGAGGCAACAGGATGAGTCAGGAGGCCCAAGCTAGGTTGATTGGGACAATCAGATTCTAAAGGAAAATCCTTCATGAATGAGGAAAGAATAAAGTGAAGGAAACAAAAAACACATGAGTTTCAGTGTCCATACAGACGCAGGTTTAAATTCTTGTTCTGAAACCAGCCCAACTGTCCCATATAACTGATGTTTATGGTTTCTTTTGAAAAAACCTAGAAATTGACCCTCGCAGTCTTAAAACTTGAGAAACTTGCATTGTCTTATCTGAGTTTCTTTCTCAGGAAACCAACCATCAGGCCTCCCAGACAGTGTCAAGAAACTGAAAGTTTCCAATCAGTCACTGCATCTGGACAATGAGACGTCAGACCCAATACCTGTCATGATTGCCTAACCAACCACTTGCTGCCTGTTAACCAATTCCTCTTCCTTACCCCCTTCTCCAATTCCTGTTTTCCCATGTGGAGTTCCATTTCTTCCCCGCTATATAAACCCCTAATTTTAGTCACTTGCGGAGACAGATTTGAGATTGATCTCCCATTCTTGGCTGCAACACTAGAAGCCTTCTTCCCTGGTGATACTCGTCTCAGTGATGGCTTTTTCCGTAGTGAGCAGCAGGGAACCCCTGGTGTTTTGGTAACAGTACCTCCACTTTATGAGTCCCGTAGCCTCTTAAAATCCAATTAACCACTTGAAGCTTTAAAGATTTATAAATAATATCTACCTCCCAGAGTCATTATAAGGACTGGCGATTACATAAAGTATTTGCATCACCTAGCAGGCATCAAATAAGTGACTTCCATTAATGTAATTATTTGGTTGTGGACTCTCTATGGGCTTTAAACAGCAATAAAAGTCTTAACCAGGAACTGACAACCGAAATCATTATTTATAACACTTACCTTGCTTCAACCAACATTGAACCTTTGT
This sequence comes from Homo sapiens, assembly GCF_000001405.40. Taxonomy (NCBI): domain Eukaryota; kingdom Metazoa; phylum Chordata; class Mammalia; order Primates; family Hominidae; genus Homo; species Homo sapiens. The sequence goes on from NC_000006.12 coordinate 96,788,646, forward strand.
TTAGTATTTACATATTTTAGAACTTACTCATTAAGCAAAGTAAACACCTTTTATATGTAAAAGTCTGAGCTAGTTGCCAAAAACACAGCATTACCCACCCCCACCCCATGCACATACCATAATGTTTCCTGCCTTTTTTTGGTTTTTTTTGGAGATGGAGTCTTGCTCTGTCGCCCATGCTGGAGTGCAGCGGTGTAGTCTTGGCTCACTGCAACCTCTATCTCCCGGGTTTAAGCAATTCTCCTGTTTCAGCCTCCCAAGTAGCTGGGACTACAGGCACACGCTGCCACGCCCAGCTAATTTTTTGTATTTTAGTAGAGATGGAGTTTTGCCACGTTGCCCAGGCTGGTCTGGAACTCCTGAGCTCAGGCAATCTGCCCTCCTCAGCCTCCCAAAGTGCTAGGACTATAGGCATGAGCCACCGCACCCGGCCAATGTTCCCTGTTTTTACAGACTATCCATCTTTGTTTTAAATGGTCAGTGTTTCAAAGATTTGTTACTAAATTTTAAGTTTTCCTCACTTCTATACAATAGTAGACTGATTTGGCTGCCTTTTTGTTCTTCTAAATTTTCTTTTTTTATTAAGCCAACTGTTTGTTTTGGCACCACATTAATGTATGTACCTTTTAGTCTATTTATACATGTCACATCTTGGATTGACTTTTTATTCCCAGTTTCTTCCTGGCAAAGACAATGAGCACAGTGAGCATACTTAATAAATGTTACATAATAATAACTATTAAATGTTCCTTAAAAAATCTCAAGCAGATTTTTCATCTTTAGCTTCTACTTTGGGATAATTATATCCTTCCTCAAAGCTATTTATAGCTCCCATCAGGAAGAACAACTGAAAAAAAATGTCACAGTCCTGCCAAAACTGTGGTGAAAGTGATTTAAACTCTGAAGATCTGTTGCAAGTGTTCAAAATGGCGTTCGACATATGTATATCTAATTCCATCAACAGAAAACTTTTCCCAACCAAAATCTCCATGACGGAGGTGGTCATGGAATATGACTTGTCCATATCCCCATCATCAATCATTCCGATTACCCAAAACAGTCAAAGAAACGCACCTTACATGCAGTCATTATTAGTCCATCTGCATGTGCACTCTTCAGCTGCATCATAAGTCATGTTCTCCCTCTACCCTGTGAAGAGCCTGAGCCCCAGCATATTTAGTCGAGACCATAAGTTGCAGTCACAGGGCCACCTCATAAATAAGTGAAATGGAGGACCTCCTGCATGACGTGAATTGGAAATCATAGGGCCAAAAAAATATATACATATGTTCAGTATTCAGGGCTGCCAGATTTAGCAAGTACAAATTAGCAATCTTATTCGCTCTACACATTAATCTCCAAACTTGCCTGGATGGTATAAGAAAACCCCAAGATTACTTTCTCTCTTAAGTCCAGGAAGCAGGTTAGAATAGTAGGTGAGTCATCAGAGACTGAAGACATGGGCGTTGATCTCAGTTCTTGCTACCTAGAACTTATTTGGCTTGGAAAAGTCCATCCTAGTTTTTACCAGCAAGATTCTATTATCAAAAGGTCCACTTCCAGACTTTGAGAGGGTACTGCTCTCTGTGAGCCACCATGGTAGATGCTGGGGAAACCAGGAACAAGCCTAGTGCCCTGCCCTCAGGGAGCTTAGCATCTAGTAGGAGAGAAAGTGTAATTAAAGGAGAAAGGTGGGGTTAGAAATAAAAGATCTAGGTCTATATGAGAAGTCTTGGGTGGGGGGGTGTGGAAGAGGTGGCTGGCATCACATCTCTGTTAGACTACATTTCTGTATTTCCCTTCAGTATGCAACTTGTTTTACTGTATATTTGTTTTCATGAGAAGGCTTTTGCCCTCAGGAGAAATTAAATAGAACCCATTGCTTGGCAATAGCAGCCTTCACACAGATTCACATACAGTGATGTCTTGCATTCTAGGTTAATCATAGCTTTTGAGATTACCTTTGGGGAAATTGTGTAAGAAAAATCCTTTTTTCTCTCCTGTCAGAGAGAAATGTCTTCTGTGCCATTTGCAGTTACCTTGCTAATGAGATGAGTCCACAGAGAAGAGGTAAGTACAGAAACGTATCTCTGGCTGACAGCTTCCCAAGGACTCCCACCATCCATGAACAAAGAGTTCTTCCAGTTTAAGTACAGCAAAAGTGATAGCAATACCTACCAGAGCAGGTGGGCTATGGAAGGCCAGCTTAGGTCCCCTCAGAAGTTTAAGTCCAGACGGAGTAGATGAACTCCTTAAAAAATTATTTTATATAAAATATTATAAAAGTTCCATTATTATTGCTTCTATTAGTAAAAACGTACCTATTAGTTGAAGGTATTTTCCAGAATCATTTGTCTGGCCTCTTCTTACTTGATAACAGGTTTTTCCAAAGCTTGCAACCTCACTATTCAGCCCTTTCCTTTCTGACAGTAAATATCTCACTGACTCAAGTGAAGTGGGAAAGAGCTCTAAAGTTGGGAGCTGGGGAGTCTGGTTTGAATCCCAGCTCTGTCTTTTTTTTTTTTTTCTTTTTGAGACGGAGTCTTGCTCTGTCGCCCAGGCTGGAGTGCAGTGACGCAATCTCGGCTCACTGCAAGCTCCGCCTCCTGGGTTCACGCCATTCTCCTGCCTCAGCCTCCCGAGTAGCTGGGACTACAGGCGCCCGCCACCACGCCCGGCTAATTTTTTGTACTTTCAGTAGAGACGGGGTTTCACCATGTTAGCCAGGATGGTCTCGATCTCCTGACCTCGTGATCCACCCGCCTTGGCCTCCCAAAGTGCTGGGATTACAGGTGTGAGCCACCGCACCCGGCCTGTCTTCTAACTGCTGCAAAAATTTGGTCCAGTCATTTAATTGCCCCAGAACTAGTTCCTTGTCTGCTTATTAGGGCATAATGTATCCAAAAACCTCTAATGGAGGTTCTGTCACAGAACAGATGATAAATTACATAATTTAAAAATATTCTGTCTCATTATTTTCAAATATATCTAACAAATTACAGTACCACAGTTTTTTGGGACAGTTTTTTATACAAATTACTCAATTGATTAAGCAATTCTAATTCTTGTAACAATCATGAGTTTAAGAGTATCTTAAAATACTGCCATTTTACGACATGTTGAACGTTTGTTGACACAGCAAGAATTTCAAAGCTGGTGTGGGGACCCAAAGGGCTCCAACTTCATGCTCAGTACTATCTGATTTATCTTTGACAGTTAAATATGTTCCAGTAACAATTTATATTATTAATTGGTTTAATCAACCTTAGATAAACTATCTACAAACCAGTGCCTAGTTATCCTAAATTCCAAACTGATGGGTGTTACTGTATTTATATATATAACAGATAGTTTTGTTTTGTTTTGTTTTAGACAGAGTCTTGCTCAGTCGCCCAAACTGGAGTGCAGTGGTGTGATCTCAGTTCACTGCAACCTCCGCCTCCCGGGTTCAAGCGATTCTCATGTCTCAGCCTCCCAAGTAGCTGGGATTACAGGCATGTGCCACCACGCCCAGCTAATTTTTGTATTTTAGTAGAGACAGGGTTTCACCATGTTGGCCAGGCTGGTCTCGAACTCCTGGGCTCAAGCAATCTGCTTGCCTCAGCCTCCCAACTGCAGGGATTACAAGTGTGAGCCACCACGCCTGGCCAGAGATAAGACATTTAATGACATGCAGAGAAGTCCCACTGAGTCAGTTTATATATGAAGATGCGAGTATCATTCTGATCCCCAAACACCAATCTCTTCTGAACATCGGTTTTCTCCTTAGTCATTGTTTAAAAAAAAAAAAAAAAAAAAAAAACAATGTCTACTAACAATATTAATTGAGTATGTACCATGGTCCAGCTCTGACTCAACACTGGGGATGCAGCAGTAAGCAAAACACTGCTTACTGGCTCAAGGGGCTCAGTCTGGTGGAGGAAATCACCACTTCTCAGGGTGAGCTCTTTCACAGGAGTTTTCCTCTGTGGAACTGCTGGAGTCCTTGGCAGTTCTTCATTCTTTGGGTTTTCCGTCCCCAGAACACCTACGCAGGTGGCTCCAGCAAGGGTAGAGTACAGGGGAGAGCAGTGATCAGGAAAGTCTCACACTGCCTCCTCCAACATTTAGGCCCCACCCAGCCTTGCCAGAGTTTCATCACCTCTAGCTCCTTTCTCTCATTCTTGGCTACTACAGATAACCCCCAGTATTTCAGACAAATTAGTACATAATGGAACCCCAATTATGCACCAGGGTGAGAGTCTATTCAAAAGGAGTTCCGGGATCCACGTGATCTGAGGAAAGTGGCTGGGTGCTCCAATATTTCTGCTGCAGTCAGCAGGTTCTGTGAATGTTCCATGACATTACAGATGGGTGTGTCCCAGGCTCTCAGGGCTCCAGTCAGCCTAACAGTCTTATTTATGACTTAGCCAAATACAGTTCACAACTTAAAACCAAGACTAAACCAATATCAGTTTAGCATTAATATTCACATCTTGGAATGCAGATTTTACTGCTGATTATCTGATGCATTAAGAGTAATACTCATTCACTATGACATTTAGTAAGCTCCTCTCACTAGGGGCTTGGTTCAGTTATCAGAGAATAATAGAGGAAGGTGGCCTAGATGTGAATCCTAGCTATTCCTAAGTAAATATACTTAACTTCTTGGGAACAGTTACCTCAGCTAGAAAAGGGGAAATACTGTGCATTAAATAGATTGAAGGTGTATTTGACCACAATTAGTGGCCAAAATATGGCATGTTATTATTGGTACTATTATTGTACTTTCACGCTTAGAATACTGTTATAACTACAAATGCTTTCAAATTCTTTAAAAGTACTTGGGGTTCATTATTCTTATAGTAGATGTGAATATTCTTTTAATTCAACATGTTGCTTTAATATTTATTTTGCTGTATCTTTCTTACCTTTTTGTGTCAGAAGGAAACATCGAATGTAAATTCAATAACAACCTGCTATTGTAAATCAACCTTCTTTTGTGACTTAAAACTCTCATGTTTAACTGGCACAAAACTGAAACTCTTATATACAAATAAACGATGTTTCCTATGGATTTATAAGTACAGAAAGGCCTTTGCTTTTAGAAATGGAAATGCAGTATGAAATCATTTCATCAAAATAGAAGCAGACATTATCATTGCTTTGCCAAACTGACAATCTAATTTTAAATAATTCAGCAGTAAAATTTTCATCACTTTCCTAGACAGAATTTCTTAAAGCTCTTTAACAGCTTTATAACTCAACAGTTGTTAACTATACTACTAGTTTTTTTGTCATTTCATCTTGAACTACTCTGAGAACTTCTAAAACTAGAATATAGTTACATGCACACAGGCCTTGAGGTCTAATTTGAAAATAAGAACCCAAAGGAAGCAGAATTTGAAGCTAAACTCAGCTTTTAACAGAAATTATTATTCATGATAAACTTTTCTAAATGAAATGCAGTAGTCCTTTTTTTAAAAAAAACTCCACTTTAGAAATGTTAAATATTTATTTATTTTCTTATCAGGAGTTCTTTTCTTGGTTGTAATAAGAATATGCACAAATAACCATATTTTTCGATATTTAAATATTAGAACCCATAATTCAAGGTTGTTTTTTTTTCCATACAGGTCAGTTACTATTGTAAAATAAATTAATTTTAATTACAAAGGTCTAGTACCAATAGATATCTAAGAAATGTATAATTTACCTCCAATAACAAACTTGTGCTTTGATATTTTTTATCATAAAAACTGAGTTTTCAATGAAGGCAGTTTAGCAGGACTATAGTTGTGAAAATAAATCTGAATGTAGCCATTCTTTAAACTTAAACTAAAAATCATTGTAGAATAAAATGTCAAGCAAGTGAAAACTTTTCTGTGATATATACAGAAATGATACATATGTAAATATTTTCACATAAACAAAAACAAAGATCAAGAAAAAAATTAAATATCTTTGTGGGCAACAGAAATACACATATTAAAAAGGTTATTTTTATTTTACTTCAATGCTTGCATTGAACACAACTGGCAGAGCAATAGGAATTAGATAAATCTTTACATTCTTCCGGGAATTACACACAATAAAGACAGCTCTCTATAAGAAAATAAAATATGAGCATAATTAGACTGCTGAAAGTCATGACTTTCAATTAAGTCACCCATTTTGCTCTACTGTGAAGCTATATGCTTTATCAGAATTTTGCCAGTTGAAAGAAAATAAAGCTAACACTGGCAAGATCCAGCACAAACACAGGTGGCAGCAAATCAGGCACAATGTTGTGTGGATTTTCCTCTCAATGTGGATTACCCATGCCTAGAAGATAATGGCTTGCAACACGAAACAAACATTGTGGGATAAAACAGATGATATTTAAATAGATATATTTTCTACAGGAATGTTTCCTGAAGAGTTTCCCAGGGACTACCTGAGCCAGAGTCAGGCAGAGTGCTCAATAAAATAAAAATGCACATTCCTGGGCTCAACCACAGACCCTCTGGAGGCCCAGGAATCTGTACTGTTAACAAGCTCCCTTGGGGATGCTTAAACATGTATTAAAGTTTAAATAATGTTACTCCATACTATTTGGAATTTCCCTTGCATCTTTCTTTTGACCACAAATATTTCATTATCTCTTTTACGCTTCTTACTAGCCAGAAGGAAAAACAGGCAAACAAAAAACCATTTCTGATTATGCCTGTAAGCAGTGAGAATTAGTAGTGGTATCTTTCCCTGCCTCAAGAAAATATGGGGGAATAGGCAACATATGATTTTGCACCTACGTTTCTCAAAGGTGCTCCATAGTACTTATTTTTAAAGCTTTCACAATGTATACATAATAAAAATGTTCAAAATGATTTGTAAACTCTCATCAGATCAAGATAATCCAGTGTAAAAAGAACTGCTGTTCAGTGTTGCTGCTGAATTCTCACAAAGACCCCTTCATAATCTTTGTTCACAAACAGGGAGCGTCTCGGCAGGCACTCCAGAGCTCTCACCAAATGAGGCACTGCCTATTAAGCAGCATGAAAGTACCTAAAGACTGCCCATAAAACAGGAACAAAGAAAACAAAGCTCAGTTTCACCTCCAGCCAAAAAGGAGTCTTCATGACCTATCAATATGTAAGATGAATACAGATCATGCTGACTTTCCTCAGAGAAAAGTCTAATAAAAAATGTCCTTATCAATATCTGCTTGAAATCTAGTTTATATGGAAAATGGAGAGCATAATACACTTCAAAATGCTACTAGTATCTACTACAGTGCTTATGTCCTATAAAATCCCTATGGACAAAAACAATTTTACCTGTGAATAAAAATTAGAAATGAAAGAGGTAGGTGACTATCATTTGAAGATAATCCCAAAACAACATGTTGAATAATATGCTTGAGTCCCCAAAGAGCTCTTTAACTGGACAATGAGTTCCAACATCGGTGCAATTTCCTTAAGAGCAGAGTTTCCCAGATATTTCATGATGTCTTCAACCTTTCAATGCCCCAACTCCTGATACAGTGCCACACTCTTCAGACATTTAATATTAAGAAATAGCTAATGAAGTAAAATGTAAAGAAGTAATACTGGAGACCAAAGGGTGAGGTGATGCTGAAGTCAGCTAGGCTCTTCAAAAATCTATACCCTAGTATAGAGGAAAGCACATTTGAGCTGGACAGGACGTTAGAGATTCATCTAATCCAACTCTCTGGTTTTACAAATGAAGAAATAGAAGCTTATTTTTTCCACTGGCTCACAAAACACTAACATCCTGAAAAGATGCTATAAATCCACAGTTAACTTACTTAATTAGTCAATGATGTAGCCAAGTGGCTATATTTTCAGCCCTTATCCCTGTGGGCTGTTTTATAAAGTGAGCCACTGGTAACAGAGAAGCTGACCAAGGCCCTAGATGCACCTGGGGGCAGACTGTCAGCAAGAGAAAAACAATTTGAAATGTCAGACATGCCCTATTAAAACTTGTTCTAGGCTCAGACGAGGGTTCATTTTCCCTTCTTTGTAGGAGACACACATCTGAGCACGTTCACAAACTCCAGCTCTGCTAGGGCAAGCATTGGGGCAACAATACTATTCTGCCCAGAACACTTACAACTAACACAGATGGACAACTGGAAACCTCCAAACCCGCAGGGGCAAGACCTACACATAGCTATCTTTAATTTCTCAATAATTGTCAGTCACTTGTTTTGCAAATCAAAAACAAAAAAAAAAATCACTGGTTTTGCTTCACAGCCTTATTTATCTAAGATTTTTAAGTCTCACATTAAAAAGTGGTTGTAGGTCAGATGTGGTGGCTCATGCCTGTAATCCCAACATTTTGGGAGGCCAAGGCAGGCAGATCGTTTGAGCTCAGGACTCTGAGACCAGCCTGGGCAACATGGTGAAACCTTGTCTTTACAAAAGAAAATACAAAAAAATAGCTGGGTGTGGTGGCACACACCTGTGTGTGCGTGTGTGTGTGTGGTTCCAGCTATTCAGGAGGCTGAGACAGGAGGATTACCTGAGCCTGGGAGGTTGAGGCTACAATGAGCCATGATCACACCACTGCACTCCAGCCTGGGTGGCAAAGCGAGACTCCAAAAAACAAAAAGTGGTTGTAAGTGATTTTATTTTTTCTTTTCTATTTTCCAGTGTTTCTGTAATGCTTTCATATTTCTTTTGGTAGTTAGAAAATAAAGGCTAATTTTTAAAAAGAATATCATAGTCTAAAAAATTAAAGGATGCATAGAGTTCCCTCTTGACTATGTGACATCTAAACTGAATGAACTGTCTGCGTGGCACAGTGGAACAGCGCAGTCTCAGGATTCTGACAGATTTTTGGATCCCAGCTCTACCACTAACCTTGGGCAGGATTTTAGTCCCTCTGAGACCTGCTTTCTTCACCTGTAAAAATGAAAACAATAATACCTACCTCACAACATCCTGTAAGGATAAAATGATGCACAGTGCCTGACACATAGGTGTCCATAAATATCAACCCCTTCTCCCTATACTCCACAAAAACCCTTGAGTAAAAGGAATCACCACAGCCTGTACCAGCCACTTGCCATCCCCCTCACTACATTCACCTTTTAAATTTGCAAGGATCCTGTCTCCTAGATTTTGCGCTATTGCTTGAAGAGTTGCTATTGTGCTTAGAAAAGTATCTACATTTTATGTTCTCTTTTACAACTGTACATGCAGATAAAACATTTCTTAAAACTATCTTCCCATAAATGATAATGCACATTTCCTAAAGCACATATCATGTATAAAAACAATTCTGAAAAATAAGACTGAATTAATTTGTACATTATCTCTTAAAGTGCACCAAAGTAAATAGTAATGACCCTTAAAATGTCGCTAACCTTCCTGGGTTAGTTTTTAAAATAAAACTAAATATATATTGATTGAGATGTTTGGCTCCAATGTGATGGTAAAAGCAGCAGTGTCTTCCAGAAAAAAAAAGTCTTGATAAACTCAAATAAGCATACCTTAGCAGCACACGAAACACCTACAATTCAATGTAACTGCAGGCTCAATAAAGCACAATCCTGATTCCCACTATGAAAACAAAATCAATCAAGGAAAAACCCCAAAACCAAAAAAAAGTCTCCTCACCCTAAATTGAGGATTTCTATTGAACCCTGGAGGTAATATTTGTAATCACTTTCCTATTATTTATTCTTGGTAACAGAACTATAATTACCATTCTTTCTTTACACTGCTCACACACATACATACACAAACCCTATAAAAAAAAATAAAGTGGAGAGGCTATGAGAAAGAGAATTCAATGTCAATAAAGAACAAGCATCACCCAAAATGTCAGCCAGTTCCAATATTCACACCACCGTCCGATGTTCCCCACACACATAGACAGCACTAGGACGTATCCGTCGCTTTGTGTGACCAGGGAGCTGCGGCAAAAACTTGAAGGACTTAGGCATCATGTCCAGGCAAGCATCATGGAATTTCTTAATCCTCCAGTAGTAGATCAGCGGATTCAATGCAGACTTGAGGTAGCAGAGCCACAGTAGCCAGGTGCTAATCTCAAAAAAGTTGTGCTGATAGTAAAAGTGCTTACTGAATGTTGCCACAAGGCTGTAAGTGGTGAATGGGGCCCAGCAGACAATGAAGACAGCAAAGAGAATCAAAATAGTGGTGAAGGCACGTGTTTTAAAGCCCATGTCAATGCTCATCTGGAAAGGTCTCTGCAGACTCATGAGACCCAGTTTGCTGGCCTGGCTGAGGCATATACCTTCAGGGTAGCTATGGATCCTCAAGGCATTGTGCCGAAGGGTGTTGAGTATGCCCATAAATGAGTACAGTATTACCAGGAAGGGTATGAAGAAAGAAATGAGAGAAATCAAAATCACATAAGCCTGGTAGCCTGGATTGGTTGTGTACCCAAACACACACTGGGGAGCTCGGGAAGGTATCTGCAGGTCGGGGTTTCCTACGGCTAAAGGAAAAGCTACACAAAAGGAAGTTGCCCAAGAAACTGCAATCAGAACCTTAGCTCTATATGGGTTTAGCTTATCCTGCCTCTGGACTATAATAAGGAACCTATCTATGCTAATGATGAGCAGGATGGCTACTCCTTCTATCACAAATAACCAGAAAAACATAGCAGATACCCTACAGAAGAATTTCCCAAAAATCCATCGGGTAGTAAGAATAGTTACCAGGGCAAAGGGCATGTTCAGCACTGCAAGCAACATGTCTGCAAAAGCTAGGCTGGCAAGGAGGATGTTAATTGCAGACCTCATGGCAGCTTTTTGGTAAACCATGAGGCAAACAACCAAGTTCCCAAGAAAAGACACAAACAGAATGAATATCATTATAGCAGAAAGGGTGATCTGAAGAGGCAAGTTTAGGCTCTTAAATGCTGCTGGTGTTGTGGGCACAGCTGTACTATTCACGGTCAAGGAACTCAAACCAGTGGGAGCCATGGTTTCAAAACTATATCTAAGCAATGGACTGAGGTCAGGATGCTGGAATGGTGGAGGGAGTGTAATATTCATGTAGGTGTTTTCATACACGACAAATGTTGTGTTGGATGTCCCGGTATGGAACGCAGTCAACACTGCCGAGAAGACCATGGTTTCAGTAGGATGGAAGATGCAAGCAGAGATGCAGGAGTTCTTCAAGCATTTCAACACAGAACAGCAGTATCAGGTCCCATTGATGGGCTTGGAAATACATTCTGGAAAATGGACAATGAGTTCCATCTTCCACAAGAGTCCTTTTGCCTGAAAATAAAACCAAAACACAAAAAGTAAATGAGAAATGAGATTTGCAAATAACATTTAACTCCAGGGCTGCCTTTCATCATGAAGGATCAGTTTTGCTCTTTTTGACCGTTTAAAAATATTTTAGTCTCCAGTGTAGTCAACACTAAAATATCGTTCTGTTATTTTATCTTTAGTCAACCATGGTGGAAATTTCATGACATTCATATATAAAGCAAAAGTGCGAGGAATCTCAAAATGTGTTACTGCCCCAAAGACAAAAATTATAATCTTACTGTTAATTTTTAAAATATTTCCAGTGCCTTTAATTTTAATTAAATGTTAATTTTAATTTTCATGCTTTGCTATAGTCACTATTAATACAGATTTTTATTACCTGGTTCTCTTGAGCACTATTTTTTTTTAATTAATAGTTCTTTGGTACAAGTTCTTACTCTAATTTTACATTAGCACAAAACCAGATGACAAAGAAACCTAAAGCAGGTTTCCTATTTCACACATAACAATTACACACTTTAGTTCTAACATCCTTATAAGTAGGCACTAAGTAATTGTCAATGAAGATCTGAAACATTTTCTTGGCTTGCTATTTATTTATTTATCCAATTAATTCATCAATTTTTTTCATTTTTAGTTTTTGAATTAAAAATTCATTCATTTTTAATTTCTTTCCAGAAGTTCCACCACCAACCATACTGGAGAACTTACTCAAGAGGAGAAGAAAAATTCTAAGATGTCTTGGTAATATTTTCAAAAGTTTTATTTTACTAAAGCTCTCTTTGCTTCTCATAGTCTCTCTTCTCTCCCAAGTCCACTGACTTTCATCCTTTCTTTTCTGATATGTATACATCTATCTCCTCTATTCTCTTCTCCCTAAAAAACCAATCTTATTTTGTGTTAGCAACTTGATCAGAATATGTCAACCAAATAACAAAGATAGAGATGTTAAAGGAGAGATGACTAGAAAAATATTCAGGTATGAAGAATCTATTCCAGAAAACTTACAAACATATTTAGTTAGCTTGCTCCAAAAAGTTTCTTATCACCTTTCTCTTATCCTAACCCCCAATTTCTTACCCAGATTTCTGTAACTCCAGAGTTTTCTGTAAGGGACTTTCTTTATCTGCTGTCTTACACATTTTGTGGTATGGGTTTTTCCTTCCGTAGGTCTTTACTGGAGAGGTAACCTCTTTATAGTTAGAAAGAAGTCTCTGAATTTCTGGCTAGATTCCTTTAATAAGCTCTTAAGAGACTGGGAAAACATACATGTACAGCAGTTTAAAACAAACTGCAGTTTACTCATTATTTCGACTTAGAATCAGTCATTGATTTTTTTTTTTTTTTTCCAGACAGAGTCTCACTCTTGTTGCCCAGATGGTGCGATCTCAGCTCACCGCAACCTCCGCCTCCTGGGTTCAAGCGGTTCTCCTACCTCAGCCTCCCGAGTAGCTGGGATTACAGGTATGCACCACCAAGCCCGGCTAATTTTGTATTTTTAGTAGAGACGGGGTTTCTCCATGTTGGTCAGGCTGGTCTCGAACTCCTGACCTCAGGTGATCCACCCGCCTCAGCTTCCCAAAGTGTTGGGATTACAGGCGTGAGCCACTGCACCCAGCCTAGTCATTGATTTTAAGGGTCACTGTCAAAATTTCATTCATTCATTTACTAATGCATGATGGGTAGGGATATCACATTTCTAAGACCCAAGATCCAGCAATGTAGCCAAATCAGGGACTCTCTACATACCTATAGCTCTACAATCCCATCTTTTTTTGTCCAGGGCTGCCTTTATAAAAAGAAGAATCCTGATCTATTCATTCAAAATATCAACTTTACTACTTGCGTTCACTTCTACGGTTTAATTTCTTTGCCCTTACTAGATTTTATCTATCCTCACATATTCACTTTGTAATACAAAACATACCTGGATAAGATGCCACACTAAGCCAGCTGCTCTTGAACTTTATTAACCACAAAGGGGCCAGTGGGAAGAGAGCAGTGGTAGTTGGAAGATTTTACACCATAATCACCATCAGCCTCTATAGAAGTACCCTAAATATACATATAATTAAGACTAAAGGCTGTGCTTAATTGTAAATTAACCTCAATACAAGTCTACCTCCATAGAGGTAGAGGTAATTTCTCTAGAAAAATTATAAATAGACAAATGTGTATCTTAAGCCTAATGTGACAGCTAAAATTGTGTTTGACAAAGTAAACTAACATATATCCATCCTGTACTACCACACTGTTTAAAATATTTCATTTCCTTGACCATGTTAAGGAACAAAAACAAAAAATGGGATGAAGCCAAAGTAAAACCATAATTTAAAAGATGACTTTTAACTTGTTATATTTGCATAGTCATTGTATCTTTCTACCATAAAAGCTTCCCACAACTATAAAAACTTCTAACAATTCATTCAATATTTCATCAAATATCTATTTAAGAACCTACTACATGCCAGGTACTAAAAGGAAAATGGTGAGCAAATAAATGGTTTCTAAATTTCTCGTAAAAAATGAAGACTGACCACAGTCCACATCCCGAAAATTACACTGAAATGACAGTAAAGGGATTTTTTAAACAAAGTATATAAACCAAAAGGACAAGAGGTATAAATGAAAAACACATCAGTAGATAAAAAATTTTTTCTAATTTTTTTTTTTTTTTTTGAGACAGAGTCTCGCTCTGTCACCCAGGCTGGAGTGCAGTGGCACAGTCTTGGCTCACTACAAGCTCCACCTCCTGGGTTCACGTCATTCTTCTGCCTCAGCCTCACGAGTATCTGGGACTACAAGCACCTGCCACCATGCCCAGCTAATTTTTTTTTTTTTTGTATTTTTAGTAAAGACGGGGTTTCACCTGGTTTGCCAGGATGTTTTTTAATGTTTTAAGGCAAAAAAAGCAAATGGTGTTGTAGTAACTGACTTAAGAAACCAGAACAGAGAACAATTTATTCTCAATACTTCCAGGGAAATATGCTTTGAAGAAACTGAAACAATCCTGTAGATGCCCAGAGAATCTCTGGATGCCAATTACCACAGAGTATATAGGCAGAGCTGAAAACTGGAAAACTGACTGAAAATCAGACACTGGAACCCCACTCCACACCTAGTTCTCCTCTCTGAACAATCACATGAAAGCACGTATCTCCATTTCAGTAGCCCAACTCTGTGGCACAACTGAACCTGACAAGCACCACACTCGAAAATATTAGTGCAAGGCTGAAAACAGGGGGACTGAGTGAATGCATATTCAATTTGAGAACCTAGCTCCTTTTGCCATCCTGCTCTCAGACTGCCAGAAGCCAGGCACATATTGCCCATGCAGAAGACTCAAAGGCTGTAACTAAACTGCCACAGAGGAAAAACCTCTAGATACTAACATCTGATGGTAGCCCAAGAACAATGCCAGCTTGGTGACCAGTCACCTGTATATGGAAGCCTACCCACTGTCAAACCAGCCCATGAACACAGAGATTCTAATCAACTTTTCAGTGCCTATTAGATATAAATTGTCAATTTCTCTAAGAAATAAAGAGTTTAACAAAGAAATTAAACAAAAGCATTTTTGTAGTTAAACATTAAGGAAAATAACTTCAATTTAAAATACTAAGGAACATAGCATGAACAGACTTAATAATGCCTTTGCCTCAGTATCTGTACAGTGGTCGTCATTCACTTCACTCCTGGCTCATTGGAATGTAAATATTCCCTGGCCTTCTTCCTTTTCTTATGAAGTATAATAACCAAAGCAGTGCTCTTGAATGCTCACAGTAACTACATTAAAAGATTCTTTCCTCTAAGCATTTCTCATCAAATATCATTGTCACCTGAAGTTTCTTTGAATTTTATGTAAGAATAGGTTAAAAAGTTTCACACTTACAATTTGTATTTCCAAATGAAATAGGACAGTAACAGCATGAGAGCAACAGACAGCGTAGGTTGGTAACATTTACACAGGAGTCTTAATGTTAAATCCAATCTCGACTAGTCTTTATTTGCCATTTGTTGGAAATGTTTAACAAATCTTCCAAGTGAGAAAAATTTTAAATTATGTGTGAATGTGTGCACATGATATATGCATACATAATACACATGTTTATACAAACACACCACATGTATGTGTACTTGTAAAACTCGCGTATGGTAGAAGTGACTGGATTTATGATTCTCTCTTATTCCATCTACAGAAACAATGCTGGGCTATCAGGTTAATGATATAAGTGGAGTGTTTTATATTTGGAGTGTGCCAGAATGTCATATTTATTGGGCTTCAGTGGCTAGAATGGTCAGTAGCGGTTGTAGTATTCTCTTGGTCCTCTTTCCTTAGTCTTACCTGCCACTGGAGTGCTTTATTTTATTTTTTTGAGACAGGATCTCACTCTATCACCCAGGCTGGAGTGTGGTGGCACAATCACAGCTCACTGTAGCCTTGACCTCCCAAGCTCAAGTGATCTTTGGAGTGCTTTAAGTACTTGTTTTATTCTCTGAAAAGGCTATATTCTCCTAGAAGGCAGCCATTGATTTTATTAATCCCATTGTTCCCTACGACCACTATGCTTTGCACACATTCTGATAAATATTTAGATAACTAAATTCATTTGCACTGTTTTGTGGGATCAATTTTTTGTTTACTCATTTTAATATTCATAAAATATGCACATAATTTTAAAAATAATTAGATAAGTTTTAAGGTGATCATCAAACCCTGTCCCAATCTTCACCACCCCATTCCTGTTTTTAGAGGTACTCATTCTTAATTATTTTAAAGGTTTTTTCATATATTTATTCTTTATATATCTAAATAACATGAAGAAATTACTTTTTGGTTTATCACTTAAATATATTAACTCCTGATTTCCTGTAAGTATAGATGTAGATTTAGCTGTCACAGCATTTCCAACTAATTTCTCTTCCCTTTGTACTATCAAAATCTTTATTTGAAACTTCTGAATTACAGTAGTGTATTAATGTAGTTATGTAAATAGTATATTTACTGATAAGCCAACAGTAGAATATTTTCCGTTCTTGTTTAACTTTTAGAAATCCTAAAATTAATAAATAACTTACATATTTATTCTCCATTTTTTTGTTTGTTTTGTTTTGGCTGTTTGGATATTTTTTGTTGAAGTTTTTGTTCAAGTCCTTTGCTCATCTTTCAGCTGGGTTATCTTTTTCTTATAAATTTGTTGGCATTTAAATATACATACACACACACACATACATTCTTTTTTCCCAAAGGATGAGGCTGTGCAATTTATAAGGAACAGAGGTTTATTTTGTCTCACAATTCTGCAGGCTGTATGAGAAGCATGGTGCCAGCATCTGCTCCTGGAGAGGTTTCAGGAGGCTTACAATCATGGTGGAAGGTGAAGGGTGAGAGCAGGAACAAGAGAGCGAGAGGGGTTGGTGCCATACCCTTTTAAAAAACCAGATCTTGTGTGAACTCAGTGCAAAAACTCACTCACTACGGGGAGGACAGCATCAAGGCATTCATGAGGGATCCACCCCATGACTCAAATACCTCTAACCAGGCCCAAACCTCCAACACTGGGGATTCCATTTCAACATGAGATCTGGAGGGGACAAACAGCCCAACCATGTCAGTATCATATTCTACAGTACTGATTCTATTCAGAGCAGGAGTTTATGGAAATCACATGATTAATGAAGTTTGGGCTCATTACAACTCCCACTCATCCCAGAACTCATGCCATGGTTATTCTACCAGTTTTGAAATGCTGAGTTAGAACAGACAAACTCAGCAGATTCTCTCACTGGTTCTCTAATCTGTGGAGCAAGGGTATAATGGTAGGAAAGGTTAACTGCAAACCCTTAGAACTATCTATTTCTACCTATGAAAGTAAACCAAAAGCAACATTTCATTCCTGCAGAGATTGCAAAGATTAGAGTCACCATCAAGGACTTGCAAGAAGAAGGTGATCATTTCTGCCATATCTCTATTCAAGTTGTCTCTTTGGCTTTGTACAAAACAGATGGATTTTGAAGAGTGCAGATGCTGTACCAGATGTGGTTTTACTGATGGAGCGAATCAACATATTTCCTGGCATCTGGTACATGGCTATTGATCTGTCAAATTCTGGTTTTCTCTATATGTGTTAGCAAAGACTACTTGAAGCATTTGCCTACCCTACTATCCTACCTCAGGGCTCTGTCAAGTCTCCAGCACGCTATCATAATCTCGTTCACAGGGACCTTGGTTGTACTTCTAGTCCATAGAATGTTATGCTGTCTATTACATGCTGACTATACAGTAAGTGGCAAATACCCTATGCATGGTAAGACACATGTGCGACAGAGTGAAGAAAGAGTCCTAAAAAAATTCAGAGGCCTGCCATCTTTTAAATTTTCTAGGGGTCTTAGTAGTATTTCAAGATATCCCTTCCAAAGTGATAGCTCTCTTGCCTACCACTAATACAGAGACACAGCATCTAGCTGGCTTTTCTGGACTCTGGAGGCAACATGCACCTCATTTGGGTATGTTATTCTGACCTATTTATCAAGTAGCTTGAAAAGCTGCCATATTTGAGTAATCAGTAATAATAAGAGAAGGCTCCACAACAGGTCCGGGCTGCTATGAAAGCTGCTCTGCCACTGAGCCGAAAGATTTACTGGTGTTTTAGGTGTCTGTGGCACATAGGGATTCTGTATAGCATTTGGCAGGCCCCTTAAAGGTCAGACCAGATCTTTAGAATTTTGGAACAAAGCTATGGAACATGAGTGCTCCACATAAACTTGGTGTTGTCTGACTTTCTGAAGCCATACAGTTGGGTTTGCATGGAGCATTTTAGCCTTATACAGAAGGGTATGTATGAAATCAGACCTGGCAGGTGCTCAGGGCACAGTTCAGTTACATGAGCAAGTGGCTGAGATTCCCACAGCTCCTATGTTTGCTGTAATGACCCTCTCTTTAAACTTCACCTGTGACCTCACTGAGAGGAGTTTCTTATGACCAGTTAACTAAAGAAGAAAAAAATTAAGGCCTGATTTATTGTGCAGATGGTTCTGCACAATAAATTGGTGCCACACAGGGGTGAAGAGTTGTAGCATTACAGCCCCACTTGGAAGCCCGTAAGGGCACAGCAGAGAAAACCTCCCAGTGGGCAACATTTTGAATAGTATACTTGGTTGTTCATTTTGACAAATTCATGCCAGAGATGAAAAACTACATTCATTCATAGACAGTAGCTAATGGTTTGACTGGCTAGTCATGTAAATGCTCACCAAATAGCAACTTTCAAAAGAAGAGCTTGATAATCAGGCAGACAAGATGACCTATTCTATTGAGATCAATCAACCTCTCTCTCTAGTCACTCCTGTCCTTCCCTAAAGGATTCATGAACAACATAGCCATGGCAGAAGGGACAGAGATTATACATGTGCTCAGCAACATGGACTTCCACTCACCCAGATCAATCTGGCTATAGCCACTGGATACTCACTGTGGCAACACAGGGACCAAAACTAAACCTATTGAAAATGACATAATCTCCTGGAGACACTAGCCAGCTACTTGGTGACGAGTGGATTACATGGACTACTTCCATGATTGGTGACTTTGTTTTTCTTAGAATATATCCATATGCTGGATAATTTTACCAAATTAGGCCATCAAGCATAATATCAATATGTTTAGTATCCTGTGCCTCCTTCCTTTCACACAATATCCTACACATATCAGAGAAAAGTAATCAGAAAGCTAATAATCACCTCCACTGTGGTTACACATTTCAAATAAAAACAGTAGGAACTCAAAAACAAAACTCTTAAAATTTTGTTTTTTAAGTATCCAGAAGCATAAAGGAATAGACATATCAAGATATTCAGTATTCAAAGGGGCAATCTGCATTCTTAAGAATAACCTTTTATCTCCTGAGTTTTGTTAGGAAGTATAATATCAAAGAACTGTCTTAAGCTCTTTGAATATGTTAGCTTTAAAAATTCCACGGCAACTATGACATTACTACTGCTATAATATCCATTTTAAGGATGATGGAACGATTGCACAGAATGGTCAAGTAACATGTCCAAGGTCACATGACTAATAATGGGCAAAGCTGGGAGTTAAACCCAGGAAGTGTGTTCTTAGCCACTACGCTATGCTGTAAAACAGAGAATACAACATACAGAAATGCCACTAGTACTAGAAAAACATAATACTTTGTTTTCTTTTACATATCACATGTATGTTTTCAAAAACATATTGCTAAATTTAAAAAGCAATTACAATAAATTTAGAAATGATGTGGAAATGAATCAGGATTATATCTATATTTTTTTACCAGAATATTCATGTAAATGTAGGGCTCTATACCGTGATTACAG
Source organism: Homo sapiens (assembly GCF_000001405.40). Classification (NCBI taxonomy): domain Eukaryota; kingdom Metazoa; phylum Chordata; class Mammalia; order Primates; family Hominidae; genus Homo; species Homo sapiens. The sequence goes on from NC_000006.12 coordinate 96,808,234, forward strand.
AAGTCTAGGTCTGCCAAAAATATATGACATATGGAATCTAAATATGCATGAAAAATACAAATACTTTTTTTCTTTAAAAAAATGAGACTCAGTAAAAAGAATCTTAACAGTGCTGAATTTGCTCAGTGTTTCCCAATGCAGATGGTACAAATATCTGGTAAAAATACAATAAAGCTCCAAAGCAACGAGATTAGTTTTCCCATGGGGTTGCTAAAACTGGAGTGACCACCTTTTAATCACAATTTCACATGAAACAAAGTGAAAATTCTACAATCCCAATAGAACTGAATATTTAGTAAGTAAAAGGAAAGATTTCTTCAGGCCAATTCTTTCAGTGCCCAAAAGGATTTTCTGATGCTGCAGTAATATAAATGTTGGCTGTTTTTCAGAAGAGTTTCACAGGCTGAAGTGCTGAGGGCTTCCATAAAACTCTGCAAAGCAGTCCTCATCAAAACTGGGACTGCAGAGAAAAGGAGCAAAAAAGTGGGACACCTACACTGAACTCCAGTCAACTAAACAGGGCCAGCTTCTTTTTTTTATTTTATTTTATTATTATGATACTTTAAGTTTTAGGGTACATGTGCACAATGTGCAGGTTAGTTACCTATGTATACATGTGCCATGCTGGTGTGCTGCACCCATTAACTCATCATTTAGCATTAGGTATATCTCCTAAAGCTATCCCTCCCCCGTCCCCCCACCCCACAACAGTCCCCAGAGCGTGATGTTCCCCTTCCTGTACCAGCTTCTTTCTTTATCTCGTCCTGCCATCTCTAATTCTTCAAGATGGTTTTATTCTCTTTCCTTTCTGCTCCTTTCCTTTTTCTCTTCCTTTATATTATTTTGACTGTATCTCTACACTGAAAATTTTCAAAACCAACCTCCCTTTCTAATCTCCAATAAAAGACCATCCTTGGATCCACATACAAGCTGGAGTACACTGGCTTTACCAGCCCATTAGAATCATAGCCTCTCTTCTACAACTTCCATCTCTAACCCCTCTAGGAGAATCCTGCTATCTTTGCCTCCCCAGTTAGGCCTTCAAATGACCCTGTATTCAGAGTGCATGTTAACTAATGTGTCTAACTGCCTGTTATCTCTACCATGACTCAGACTACAAATCTTGCAAAAGAGATAGGAGCACCACATTACAACTTAGAAAGAAACTCATTATACAAAATTCTGCCTTGATGTTAAAATTCACTGGGCTGCCTAGATAGATATAAAGATATACAGATTAGATATAGATATATGCATGTATCTATATCTACAGATAGATATAGATACCATGTGTATATATAACCAAAAAATTCTTTCATGGTTCACTAAGTATGTTCTCTTTATATGCAATTTGATCTGAATCATTTTCTGCATTTTTCTCTTCCTTCAAATCCATAGTAACCCAGTACTACATAAAACCTATCAACTTTCACAAATGCTAAGAAAATGTCATCTAAATATGGCCAACCTCAAGCTTTTCCTAAATTATCTTACTATAAGGATGTCGAAAGTAGAGAAAAAATATCTGGGTAATAGTCTTGGCCCTTGCATTCATTAACTAAGATGTTCAGGCAAGTCAGTGAACTTTCCTGACTCTCAAATGTCCTTATCTCAAAGATGCAGATATAAAACCACACCATAGGTTGGTGAATTAAATAAGATAGATGAAAGTGAATTATAAACTACAAAGTGCTATCAAATTATAACATATTATAACCATAATCTTCTACAGACTTCCACTATGTTATGCAATCAATATCTCTATTATAGCCTATTGGTGGGAGTATGAACTGGTACAGCATTTTGGGAGTAAGAGTAGGCAGTATTTCTTAATATTAAACAATTTAAATATTGTCTAGAATTCTACGTGATAAAAACACTAGCATAAACATGCAGATAAGAATGTTCATTGTAGCATTACTTCACAGTGAAAAACTCAACATCTTTTTAATACTCATCAATAAGATAACAGTTAAATAAACTGGGGCGCGGTGGCTCACACCTGTAATCCCAGCAGTTTGGAAGGCTGAGGCAGGTGGATAGCTTGAGGTTAAGAGCTCGAGACCAGTCTGGCCAACATGGTGAAACTCTGTCTCTATTAAAAATACAAAAATTAGCTGGGTGTGGTGGCGTGTGCCTCTAATCCCAGCTACTCAGTAGCTGAGGCACAAGAATCACTTGAATCCAGGAGGCAGAGGTTGCAGTTAGCTGAGATCATGCCACTGCACTCCAGCGCAGGCGACAGTGCGAGACTCCGTCCCAGGAAAAAAAAAAAAAAAAGATAACAGTTAAATAAAGTGTGATACATACATACTAGGAATACCATGCAGCTATCACAAACAATAGGTCAATCTAGAATAGTGACAGCAGAGAATGTTCATCATATACTAAAAAAAAAAGAAAAAATTAACATGCAGAATGACGTACAACATAGTCCCATTGTTATGTATGTATGTAGATGTGTGTGTATATGCATATACATGTATGTGTTTGTGCATATGTACATAGGTATAGACAAACAGACCAAACGGACAAAAGGGATTTCTTTTCTGGTATGAAATTAAGGGAGTAAAATATTATTTTCCCCATACACTTACAGTTTTGTATAATTTTTTTCCACATTAAATCAATATTGATCTTGTACTATTCTATCACACTTTTCTTCCTGTTTCCTGTATAAAATTCCTTGAGGATGCAAGCTGCAACCTATCTTATTTGTAACATATCTGACCTAACACAAAGCTGTGTATCCTAAAGTTGCTTAAGATAACAATAACCATGTATGCCACTCTCTATGGAAAAGAGGGTAAGAAGCAAACCACAGTCTGCAGATTCTGCAGGACCTGGGTTCAAGCTTCCCAGGGCTCCCAGCAGAGACATCCCACCAGCCCCGGTCTCAGTCCAATCTTCTAAAATGCTGTACTCATTGCATATGCTCTAAAGGTTGGCCTTGATTCCACTGATCCCAGGATGCTGGGAAGAAACGAGTGGCACCACTATGAAAAAATTGCTGTTCTAAAACTATTCTATCCCCTAACGGATAAACAGAAACTGGCTGCTGGGAATAACCCACGCGTTCCAGCCAACTCATTACTGACAGCAGAATAAAACAGGTAGGAATGTGAAATACTGGCGTTACTCAAGGGTGTCTGCTTTTGTCTTGAACAAAATGAAAGTCTAAAGGAAAGAACAATGCCTAAGAGAAAGGAGAGCTCTTGTGACATTATGGAGCATCTCTCTCTCATTCTGGGCCACAGCCTGTGCTTGAAGAGAAAAGATGTCACATCATGTTCTTCTGCTATTTGCCACACTCTTAGCCAACAAGAATTTCACTTGGTCCTACCTTCATTCCTATCTTTCCTCTCATCTAAGAAAGAAATAAAATTGCAAACTAAGAGAGGAAAGAAAAAAGTGTATCACATATAAATTTATATTCCTTCCTATATTAGGCCCTTGCAACATATCCAGAGATTCTAATTAAAACTGGGGGAATGGGAGTCGAAGGACACACAAGGATGGAAGTATACTCCTGAGTTCTGTTTTGAAAAAGGTGGAACCAGAAATAAAGAATCAACCATTTCACTTCAGAACTTTATTTCATTAAAAATAAATAAATAAATAAATAAATAAATAAATAAATAAATAAATAAATAAATAAAATAAAAGGCAATCACCTTCATTGGGCAACCTACTTTGCAATTAAAATGAATACTCTATAAATTTAGATCATTATAACAATGTCTACTTTTTTTGTCGTTAATTCTCTTATTCTCTGGTTTAACTGTAAGTAGAGTCAAAGGAAGCTTTGAAAACAAACCAAAAAGGAATATACAATAATCACACAAAGTGAGACAGGGTAGGGAAGAGCTTATTTAAAGTTATTTTTTATATAGGGCACATCATCATGGCATCAAAATTACCTTATTTGCAAGGCATATCTAACCTAAAACCTATATGCAATAAAGCTAAAGGAAAAAATGCTGTGTGTACATTTTAAGTATGAACCACAAGTAGTGTTCTATTTATAATGATGTTCCATTCCTAACATATTTCTAATTCTAACCACAATATTCACCACAAAAAAGAAGAATTTTCTCACTAATGTTCAAAGGAACACTTAGTTTTTCCATAGACATTTAAAAAATGAGATTATTAAGCACAAGGATTTATTTGCCTTCCTGTTACTTTTCCCCATAAATACTAAAAAGAAATTAAATGTCAGGAAGGGCTCTGGTTCAGAGAATATGCTAAGTGACTTCTGATGACAATCAAAACTGAAACTCAAGTGGCATGAAAGGTCAGCATTTAATAGAAGTGCAAATTAATTATAATTGAAGACTTTAAAAATGTATTTTTAAGTGGCTAATAGATTAACCTTTTAGAAATGCAAAAAGCAAAAGAAGTGATAAGTCCTATCGGTGATAGGTTTTGTTTATATTCCCTTTGTCTCCTACTTCTATTTCTTTTTATTTTTTTATTTTATTGATGCATAATATTTTGCCTATTCATGGGGTACATGTGAGCATTTGTTACATGTATAGAATGTGTAATAATCAAGTCGGGGTATCTGGAGTATCCATCATCTAGAGTATTTAACATTTCTATGTGTTGGGAACATTTCAAGTTCTCTCTTCTAATTAGTTTGAAATATAAAGAACATTGTTGCTAACTATAGTCATCCTACTCTGCTATTGAACATGAGAACTTCTACCTTCTATCTAACTGTATGTTTGTATCCATTAAACAACCTCTCTTCATCCCCTCTTCCTCTTCTGTTATCTTCCTAGCTCCTGATATCTATCATTCTATTCTCTACCTCCATGACATAGCTTCTTTAGCTCCCACATGAATAAGACATGTGGTACTTGTCTTTCTGTTCCTAGCCTATTTAATTTACCATAATGACCTCCAGTTCCATCCATATTGCTGCAAATAACATGCTTTCATTTTTTATGGCTAAATAGAACTCCACTGTGTACATATACATGTTCTTTATCCCTTTGTCTGTTGATGGACATTTAGGTTGATTCCACATCTTTGCTATTGTGAATACTGCTATGATAAACATGCAACCACAGGTATCCTTGGATATATAAATTCCTTTTGCTTTGAATATATACCCAGCACTGAAATTGCTGGATTGTATGGTAGTTCTCCTCTTTGTTTTTAGAGAAAACTCCATACTGACCCAGTGGTCATTCAGGAGCATGTTTAATTTCCATATATTTGTAAAGTTTCCAAAGTTCCTCTTGTTATTGATTTCTACTTTTATTCCATTGTCATCTGCAAAGATACTTGATATGCTTTCAATTCTATTGAGATTTGCTTTGCATCCCAACACATGGTTTATCCTAGAAAAATGTTCCATGTGCTGATGAGAAGAATGTGTATTCTGTAGCTGTTGGGTGAAATACCCTGAAAATGTCTGTTAGGTCCAATCCAAGGTTTCTTTGTTAATTTTCTGTCTAGATTATCTAACGCTGAGAATGGGTTGTTGAAGTCCCCTACATAGTCTTTAGTCTCCCCTACAAGTTTGTTTTACTTTTGAGATGTCTTCGATTATTTGATCTTTATCTCTGAGCAGTGGCTATGATTATATATTCTCTGTCTCTGAGGAATAACTATGGTTTATTAACATAAGGGTGAGCCATAAAGATGGCATCATATGAACATCTGCATAAGACTACCTGATGATACTAAACTGGAGTAAAACAAAACCTTATGTAAAAAGTGGTATATTTGAAATGTAGGATATAAAAAAATTACTATAAAAATGCAACAAAAAAGAAAACAATTGTAGTATTGTTACTTCAAAGCAAAAGAAAAAAATACTTTTTGTAAATGACATTCAATGGTACTCAGAAAATAACCCACAGACTTGTTCAATCTCCAACTTTATATCTAATACATACAATATTATATATGTATAAAACCTTAAGTTTTCAAGCAAAGGAGGAAATGTAAATTATAGATGAGGAAGCTGAGCCACAAGGAAACTATGTAACTTGCCCAAGGTCACATAGCTGGTAAACAGTAGAGCGAGGATTGGAACTCAGGTAAAATTGCCTCTCGTCTTTGAGCCATCATTATATTAGGGGCAGAAAAAAAGCCTTATCCCAGAAAAAGAAAAAAAATTTCAGATGTGCAATTATTATAGCTACCAATTCTTAAATGTCTACCATGTACCAGACCTTAACATATATTATTGCTAATCCTGACAAACCACCCCAAAGACAGAAGTTATGTTCCCCATTTTCAAGAGAATTAAACCAAGGCTCAGAGGGCAATGTGCTGCCAATCACACAGCTGGTGGGAGGACCGTGATTAGAACCCAGGGCGTCCGGCTCCAAAGTTTCTGCTCTTTACAAAATGTTTTGCTGCTTCTCACATAACCTACAGAAGAGAACGGTACTTTCATTCCACTTAATATAGCAATTTGCAATGTTAAAAATGCTGTCCCTCATCCCTGGTCTAATACCTTGAGGGTTTTATTTTTAGACTAGCCTTCCCTAAAGGCTTCAAGTTTTCTGCAGAACACCATTCCCTGAGGGCCTGAGGCAGCATGAGAGCCAATAATGTGTTTTACAAAATGACCAAAAAAAAATGTAGGGCAGTGACTAAAACAAGGACATTTCTGTGAGTTATATCATACTTTCACAATTAATAGAGCCAAAATGTGGATAAGGAAAATTCCATTATCCCTTAATCTCAGACACAATTTTCATACTGCTGACTAAAAAATTAAACTGTTTAGATGATTTCTTGAAATCCAAACACTATGGATAAACTATGGGAATGAAGAATGTTTTAGATTTTCTAAATTTTTATGTGCATGCTTTAGAACTCTGAAATCAGTTTAAAGTGGTCTAACACTTCAACTCCTTCAAAATGCAACTGGTAAGGTTGACACTCACCATTTATATGAATGCTTCCAGGAGCGAGATAATTTAACTTCATGTGAGGAAGCCAAGACATATAATTCTCCTTTTAAATTTGTGGCGATTTATAAAACAGGCACTTTCTGATACATCACAAAGGAGAATTTGATCTTAAGTTAATGATTTGCATGGATGTGAGAAAGAAGATAACTCAAAATTGGAATGGCTCTGATTCTACTTATAGGAAGTATCCAAAATAGTCAAACTCATAGAAGCAGAGAATAAAATGGTAGTTGCCAGGGACTGGGGAGAGGGAGAAATGGGGAAGTGTTCTTCAGTGGTTATAAAGTTTTTTATGCAGGATGAATAAGTTCTAAAAATCTTCTGTACAACACAGTACCTGTATTAACAACAGAGTATTGTGTACTTTAATATACATTAAGAGGACAGATCTGATATTGTGTTCTTACAAGAACACACACATACAAAACAACATGAGGAAAATTTTGGAGGTGATGAATATATTCAGTGCCTTGGCTGTGGTGAAGATATCGCAGGTGTACACGTATGTCCAAACTCTTCAGGATGTATATGTTAAATGTGTACAAATTTTTGTATATCATATATATCAATAAAGCTAAAAAATGAGATGCCTCATGAACTTAGACTTGAGGTGATGCTCCTAAATGAAATTATATAAATCAATAACTAGACAAACTTTCATACAGATAAATCACTGAACACAGCGTGACATAAGAAAACATTCCTGAAGGGTTTCCTGCTCTTCTCTCTACATTATTTTTGAAATGCGATCCGCTTCATGTTAATATGACCTGTACCACATACCAGATACCAAGACAGAATACAAAAGAAAAGGGGATACAACCCTTGCCTTCAAAAATATTAAAACATTATAAAGATTAATGAAAAAACTAATTATTCTGGTCTATTAATATAATATCTTCAAATGCATGGATTCTTATTTGTTAATACAGGCAATATTACACATTAAAAATTCTTAAAAATCAATGAATAATAATGTATATTAGCAAGTAAATCATAAATAGAAGACGCAAAAAAACCATTGTTCGAAACAGTGTTCAGTCTCATTCAAGTAAAAATGAGAATTCAAACATAATGGAATGTTAATTTTGTGCCTAGCTTTTCAAAGGTTTAAACAAGATGAAAATAATTCTAGCAAGTTGATACTCCACCAATGGGAATGTAAACTTACAGCAATTCAGGAAGCTATTTCAACAGCCTTAAAAACATTCCTAGAGAGCCTTAAAAACATTCCTAGAGACTTCCGCTTCTAGCAAATAAAGTCAAGCCTGTAGCAGACCAACACTCCCACCAAAAACAACCAAAAAAGCTGGATAACATTTTTAAATCTCTTTGAAGACATCTGAGAGCCACCAAAGCAGGGAGAACCTGAGAGGCTACGATCTGAGAGAAATGAAGTATAGAAAAGTGAGGCACTCTGCAATTCGTGTTATTTTTCACCTGAAGGCATGAGCTAATTCTGAAATGCTAGCTCAGAGGTTTTCTCAAGGCAGCTGAGAAACCGAGAGCCTGCAAAGTGGCAGCTGAAAGGATTAAAAGCTGCTGAAAAGCTTGAAAGTCTGGTAAAAGAGGCAGCTGAAATGCTGGGAAGCTAAGCAGAGCACAGTCTCAGTGGGCTGGAAGCTGGCGTTCTGGGTTCATGGAAAGGTTGGGGGAAACAACATCTGAAAGATGTCACTCTTGGAATAGGCATGAAGAAAAAAATTGAATAGCCCTCCAATATAACAACCAAATATCAGCCTCTAATTAGCTCGTTTAAGTTTCTTAATATTTATTAAGTTTCCAAATCAAATATATTTTTAAGGCACAAACAGGATGTCAAAAGCACTGGCTATAAAGAGTGATAAACTCAGCAAAAGGTGAAATTATAAGAACAGAAAGGCAAGCCAAAAGGCAGAAGACATTTGCAATCACTAAAGACAAAGGACTCATCCTTTGAATATATATATTTAAATGGCAACAAATTGATAAGAAAAAGATAAACAACCCAGGCTGAAAGATAGGCAAAGGATTTGAACAAAAACTTCACAAACATATCCAAACGGCCAAAACAAAACAGTACAAAACAAAATCCACAACATATGTAAACATGTTCTTCCTCAACACTCATCAGGGAGATGCAAATAAAAATCACAATAAAATAAAAATCCAACAGAATGACTAAAGTTGAAAATATATATATATATAAAATATACCAAATACTGACCAGGATGTGGTACACATGAAACTTTCATTCATTGGGAGTGGAAATGGGTAACTAGATAACAGTATGCTGTCTATGGTAAATTTGTAGTTATGCCTGCTCTGTTACCCAGTAATCCCACTCCTGAGTAATGAACAGAAATACTTAGATTTGTACACCAAAAGTTAAATACAAGTATATTCCTAGAAGCATTATTTGAAATATTAGAACAGCAAAAATGTCCATCAATAGAACTGATAAATCAACGTCATTATATTCATATAATCAAATACTACACAGCCACGAAAATGGGCAAAACTACTATAACGCAACACATGGATGAATCTCACAAATATAACATTGAACAAAAGACAGACACAAATATGTATATACAATATTATTCAATTTATATAAAATTCAAACACAGGCAAAATTCATCTATGTTAGTAGTTTATTGGTTACCTTTGGGGAAGAGTAGGAGTTATGACTGGGAAAGGGTTTCTGGGAGGTTCATATATTCATTTTTTTTTTCAAATTTCACTGAACTGTGCCCGTATGATTGGTGCGTCTTTCTGCTTGTTATGTAAAACTTCAAAAAGTTTATGAAAAATATTAAAACTTTCTAGAAATTTTACTTCTCAGGATCCATACTTAAGAAATAATTTTATACTACCCAAAGCAATCTATAGATTCACAGCAATCTCTCAAAATGCCAATGATATTCTTCATAGAAATATTTTTTAAAATGCTAAAATTTCTATGGAGCCACAGAAGATCCCTTATAGCCAGAGTAATCCTGAGCAAAAAGTTAAAAAAATTTCATGGCCAGGCGTGGTGGCTCAGGCCTGTAATCCCAGCACTTTAGGAGGCCAAGGCGGGTGGATCACCTGAGGTCAGGAGTTCAAGACCAGCCTGGCCAACATGGTGAAAACCCCTCTTTACTAAAAAATACAAAAATTAGCCAAGTGTGGTAGTTCGTGTCTGTAATCCCAGCTACTTGGGAGGCTGAGGCAAGAGAATCGCCTGAACCCAGGAGGCAGATGTTGCAATGAGCTAAGATCGCAGCACTGTACTCCAGCCTGGGCAACAAGAATAAAACTCCCATTCAAAAAAAAAAAATTTTCATGTACGTCATAGTAAGAAATTTGAAGCAATCCTAAGGTTTACATTTAAAAAACAGAATTATGTGATTTATAAAATAGAATGCTGTACAGCAACTAAAACTGTTTTTGAAGAGTATTTAATGACACATGAAAATATTATGCTAGCATATTGAGTGAAGAAAAGCTGTATACATAATATGTTCCCACTATGTTTTGAAATTTTTTTCAAAGAATTAGAAGAGAACATATCAAAATATTAACACACATCAGGGTGAACAGGCAACCCAAGAATGGGAGAAAATTTTTGCAATCTACCCATCTGACAAAAGTCTAATATCCAGAATCTACAAGGAACTTAAACAAATTTACAAAAAGAAAACAAATCAAAAAGTGGGTAAAGGATGTGAACAGACAATTGTCAAAAGAAGACATTTATGCAGCCAACAAACATAGGAAAAAAAGCTCATTATCACTGGTGATTAGAGAAATGCAAATCAAAACCACAAGATACCATCTCACACCAGTTAGAATGGTGATCATTAAAAAGTCAGGAAACAACAGATGGATGCTGGAGAGGTTGTGGAGAAATAGGAACGCTTTTACAGTTGGTGGCAGTGTAAATTAGTTCAACTATTGTGGAAGACAATGTGGTGATTCCTCAAGGATCTAGAACCAGAAATACCATTTGACCCAGCAATCCCACTACTGGGTATATACCCAAAGGATTATAAATTATTCTGCTATAAAGACACATGTACACATATGTTTACTGCAGCACTATTTACAATAGCAAAGACTTGGAACCAAACCAAATGCCCATCAATGATAGACTAGATAAAGAAAATGTGGTATATATACACCATGGAATACTATGCAGCCATAAAAATGAATGAGTTTATGTCCTTTGCAGGGACATGAATGAAGCTGGAAACCATCATTCTCAGCAAACTAACGGGAACAGAAAACCAAACACAGCATGTTCTCACTCTTAAGTGGCAGCTGAACAATGAGAACACATGGAGACAGGGAGGGGAACATCACACACTGGGGCCTGTCGGGGTGCAGGGGGACAGGGGAGGGAGAGCTTTAGGACAAATACCTAATGCATGCAGGGCTTAAAACCTAAATGGGGGTTGATAGGAGCAGCAAACCACCATGGTACATGTATATCCATGTAATAAACCTGCATGTTCTGCACATGTATCCCAGAACTTAAAGTAAAATAAAATAAAAAGAAAGAAAAAGAAAAACCCAACTAAATTGCCAAAAAAAAAACAAAAAAACAAAAAAAAACGGGTAGATCACGAGGTCAGGGATGGCTGGCTAACATGGTGAAACCCTTCTCTACTAAAAATACAAAGACAAAATTAGCTAGGCGTGGTGGCGGGCGCCTGTAGTCCCAGCTGCTCTGGAGGCTGAGGCGGGAGAATGGCGTCGACCCGGGAGGCGGAGCTTGCAGTGAGCTGATATCGCTCACTGCACTCCAGCCTGGGCAACACAGCGAGACTCTGTCTCAAAAAAAAAAAAAAAAAACAAACAACAACAAAAAAAATTCGACCAGTAGGACAGTCTGTGGTACATTCTCCTCCAGCTTTTCTTTCCCTTACTTTCCAAATCTTGTAAAATGAGTAGTTTTCTTATAGTCAGAAAATAAAATCTTCTTGAACATTTCATATTATAAATATATGTTAATATTTGCTTTCAATGATCATAAAACATATTCCTTAAAAAAAACTCTGTTCCTTAGGAAATACGTTAAGACAGCAAAATAAGCATTCTCCGGCCTATCTCATCATGCCTGCTGTCCATGGGTAAAACAAAATAAGGTATTTAGACATTTAGAAACTAGTGACAGGAGGAACTACTCAAATGGCAATTGTTAAGTAAGTGTTACTATTATTATGCAAGAAATGTATTCTCATCGGTAAAGGGCACATGTTTCTTATGAAAATAGGATTTTGTTATCCCCTAAAGAATAAAATTTAAATATGGTGCTTTACCTAGTCACTACTTTTAAGTGTACCCCATATTTCCTGCAATTACTTACCTAGTAATCTAAAAAAACAGTCTTTATCTTTTTATATTAATCTCTAGGTCACCTTTCTGGTTTCCACAAATATTACCTCAGAATCAGTGTAATTTTTTTAAAAAAAGCAAAATGAGCCAAAAAAGCATGCTTATTTTGTTATTTTCATGCTATTCCACGAGAATTTTTTTTTCATCCAGCTTTAGCATTGAACTGAATTTCTGGGTAGAGCTCAGCATGCCACTCACTTTTTTAACCTGTTCCCTTAGCAACTCTGTACTCATCTGACCCCATATGCCTATCTTCACAATTAGACATTTAATTTTTCCTTAATCTACCACAAATTTCCAAGGACTTAGAATTAGTTTATCTAATCAAAACTAAATGTTTATACCATCATATCAGTGGTATTTCTTCTAAAAATGCTGGTACTCTCTTCACTGCCTCTCACTACAAATGATTTTGGCGTGTTCTTTGGAGGGAATAAAAAGTCAGTCGGGGAAACAATAGTCTATCTATTGAGCACTCCCACACTCTTCCTCCAGAAGCTCATTGTGCCCACCTTGGCAGTGGTCAGAGGGCCTGGTTGCTATTTACAAACTGTGTGTCACTGGGCAGGTTACTGAACCTCAGGTTTTTCATCAGAAAAATGGAGATGATCATAGTGCAGTTTAGCTCATGAAGCTATAGCAAAGATTAAGCGAGATAGCAAATGTCAAGTATTGACACATAGTGCTCAATACATACGCACTAGCAGTTTCACTTAAGTCAGAAAAGAAAATCACATCCTCTACAACACCAACCTTTCAGTGACATTTAGGATTCTACTCCTTCATCCTTGCAAATGACTATTTTTCCATACCTCACCTCAAACTGAGTTTAAACCTCTTTCTCACTTTAAGATTCTGCGCTGTGATTTTGATCAGATGCCTTCGTTTCTCTTCCTCTAACTCACCCTTTTATTTCAGAAAAGTGACTTTCAAATATCTCTTTTCAGAACAAAAAAAAGGTACAGCTTCTTTTGTCTTTTCACTACTTTAAACAGTGGCAGAATTCTATATAATTCTTACTCAACTTTCTAGGAATAGTCTACTACAACTATGCCCAGATTATTCCTCTATCCCCAGATGCAACTGTAATCTGACTTACTTGTTTTTCATAATAACACTTTTTGTTGCTGACTGTGATTATCCCTGAGAGCTCCAGCCAAGTCAATTCAACAAATAGGTCTCAGGCAACAATCATGTACCAAGACCATATATGACATGATGTCTACTAAAAACAAGTGAAAGACATACATATATATACCACGGTCTCCTCTTTCTTCCCACATCAGATAACATGACTATCTGAGATGGTTCAAGCATAATCTCTTGGCGTAACAGACACATCTGTTAGACTCCCTACCCTACCACCCTACCTCTCCCCCATCAACCAGGTACCTCGTTTCCAAGGATATAATAGAAATTTCATAGAACGTAGAATCAGAAGACCTTCACAACACCATCAGATACCTCAAATAACCTCATGATTGTATATACAACAGTCAACCATACACACACACACTTAAAAAAAAAAATCAAAGGATGGATCCTCAGTCCTTTGGTCTTGCACTATGTAAATGTAATGCATTACCATAGCAAATTCCAATAATGAACACAAAGAAAAATATAGAACTATGAAATTTTGTCATGAGTGGGAAACCAGAAAATAACACAAGGGAAACATCACTGAAATAAAGATCATTCTGCTCTAACGTACACCATTTCAAAATAGGATTGGTGAAGAGCAATGTTGACTCATCCTCAAAAAAAACGGCAAATCTGTTTTGACCTTGATTCACTGCTATGATCAAAATAATTATGGTTAACTTGGGAAGGTTCCGAAAAAAAGGTTCTAAAGGTCATACTAAAAATACTTAGAATTTTAAAATCTATGAAATAAGACTTCAGTTTTAGTATTCAAAGTGGCCACCAGATAAAGACAAAAGAAATGTTGACAGCGTCATCATGTGCCAACTGAAATTACCTTCACTTGCCATCTTTCCCTGATACTCAGTCTTCCACCACGCTATCCATGTATACTATATAAATCTTTGGCATATACTTTTCAACTTGACTTACACACTTCTTTAAATACATTTCCATCCTTCCCTTAACAAACAGTTGCTAAGCACCTGCTCTAAGCCAGCTTCTGACTAAGCACTGCTTACAATGGGAAACAAACTGGATATATCTCCTGATCTTATGTAACTTACAAGTTTATCAGGGAGACTCACACTAAATACATGGTAACTACTGGGTTATGCCATGATGTATGTTCTGTGAAGAAAAACTCAGGATGCTACAAGAGTGAAAAACAGTGAAAACATAATTCCTCATTTACAGTCATGTACTGTTTAATGACATTTTAGCTAAGGGCAGACCACTATATAAGATTATAATGGAGCTGAAAAATTCCTTTCATAAGATTATAATGGAGCTGAAAAATTCCTATCACCTAATGACATCGTAGCCATCATGGCTTTGTAGTACAACACAATATTCATGTGTTTGCAGTGATGCTGGCATAAATGAACCTTCTGTGCTGCCAGTTGTATAAAAGTCTAGCACATACAGCACATAATACTGAACAAACATAATAAAGGATGTTACTGCTTTATGTATTTACTACTCTATATTTTTAATTTTTATTTTAGAGTACTACTTATTAAGATTTCTAAAAGTTAACATAAAACAGCCTCAAGCACATCCTTCAGGAAGTATTCCAGAAGAAGGCATTGTTATCACAGGAGATGACGGCTCCATGTGTTATTGCCCCTGAAGACCTTCCGGTGGGACAAGCTATAGAAGTGGAAGACAGTCATATTGGCCCTGTGTAGGCCTAAGTTATTGTGTGTGTTTGTGTCTTAGTTAACAAAAAAGCTTAAAAGTTAACAAAATTTTAATAGAAAAAGGCATATAGACTAAAGATATAATGAAAACATTTGCATACAAATGTACAATGCATTCATGTTTTAAGATGTTATTACAAAAAATGAAAAAGTTTTAAGAAATTTAAAAGTGTATAAAGTAAAAAATTTACAGTAAGGTATTGAAGAAATTTTAAAAATAAATTTAGTGTTACCTAGGTATATTGTGTTTATAAAGTCTACAGTGGTGTACATTAATATCCCAGACTTTCACGTTCACTTACCACTCACTCATTGACAGAGTAATCTTCCATCCTGCAAGCTCCATTCATGGTAAGTGCTCTATATGGGGTACCATTTTTTCTCTTTTACACCATATTTTTACTGTACCTACGTTTAGATATATAAATGCTTACAGTTGTGCTACAATTGCCTACAGTATTCAATACAGTAACATGCTTTACAGGTTTGTAGCCCAGAGACAATAGCCTACACCATAATATAGCCTAGGTGTAGAGCAGGCTTACCATCTAGGCTTGTGTAAGTGCACACTATGACGTTAACACAATGAAGAAATTGCCTCATGACTCACTTCTCAGAACATTTATGTGTACATGTTTTCTTATAACACTCTCTAAATCTCATGCTCTATGATAGTATGGTATTATCCACTAAGATGAATCTCTAAGTAGTAGGCTAAAGACTAGTGTATTTTAGTCTTGGAAGTTATAGTTTATTTGTTATAGTTTGGTAGGCAAAGAGTGGGAAAGAATAGGTCCTGGGGAATAAGAGCAGAAAGAAAATAAATAAAGACCAAAAACAGATGTCTTTCACTATAATAGATAAATTTTTACAATATGCATGTGGTCCTGAAAAAAAGTCTTCTAAAATCAAATTGCTGGCAAACCATTTTAAATTCAAGAATATTTAATGTTTCTTGAAACCTCACTAGCAGAAAGACTCTACTGAATCCTGCTATAAAGCAGAATTCATCTAAACAAAATCTAACTCCTCTAAAACAATCCCATTTCTACTATTTCTAAATTTTAATATTCAGTCAAGTTTCCTGTGCAACCAACAAATGGAAAGGACTACTCCAAGTAAAAGGGCTACATAATTATCATTCTAAATTCAAAGTACTGCATGTCACCTACCAACATAAACCCTGCTCACTCCCCACCAAAAATACGCCTTAGCAAAAAAAAAAAAAAGTCTTAAAACCTGCACTATTCATTTTGAACTTTTAAAAAAATGAAAAAAAAAAAAAATGATAAAATGGCTGTGTTCTTAACACCAAAGAACAATTTATCATCATGCACCACAGTCACAAGGGAGAAAGGGTCCAGTGGGAGGTTGTGGTGTTTGGTTGTTACTGGGTTTCCCACTGATAGTGTCGTGAGTTATTGTCCCCACATAGTAAGACACCTGCCACTAGTCTTCTAGTTCTCTGCTCAAAGATTAAAGCAACACTAAAAGCTTTGCAAGATTACAAAGAGCTGACGCAACTGATATTAAGACTGGTAAGACCAAAGGCCCATAGGAAATTCAATGGCTCACCGTGCACACAATAGTCAGAAACACAATTCCTGGATTTTCTCTCAAACCAAAGGTGCAGAAACAAAAGTATGAAATATTGTTTATAAATATCACTGCTTAAACTTATGTAAAGTTTTTCCATTTGTATTATACCTCACTCATGCTCAATCCTCATTTTATTTCTTCTAGCAAATAGGGCCCATGAGAGATTGACTAACACCAGAAAGTGATGTGTATATGTGTATGTATGTGTATACTCAATATATATTCAATTAGGGCGGGAACCACTGCAACAATGTAGCCCAAATGCTGAGTTTGTATAATAGGTAATGAAACAAATGTGAAAATTCTCATATGCAGAATATTTATTACACTGGAATTGAGCAGGAAAAAAATCAGACTTGAACATAGGGTCTGGGAGAAACAACATTCAGTGAAATGATCAACTCTCAAGTTTGTATAAGATAAAAAAGAAAATTCTCCCTCCTACAAGGGCCACAAACTGAATGGATTCTTTATAAAATGTGGCTTTTGATATGGAGTGTCTTCTACCTACTTAAAAAAAATAGCTACTAGAGGGACTGTTTTCAGGAACTTTATTCCAACCTAGAATCTAGATATGAGCAAAGATCTTACCAAAGTGAGATTCTTTTATGTATGCTTCAAAGATTATTTCCATTTTGGTGCCTGTTTACTCAAGGTGAGGAAAAGTAAAAGGACAAAAAGACTTTAAAACTGAAAATGTAAAAAGAGCACAGAAAATAGTAAAAGCTTAATTTTATGACATGGAAGCTTAATTTTAGTCCATAATCACCTGATGAATGGAATCATTCCCCAAAAATAATCAAGCTAATTACCTTAGTCTTTTTTTTTATTTATTCAGCTTCATTTACTACTATACTTGCTTTTATTGTTAACCTACAGCAACTGAGTATTGAGAGATATAATGCTGAAGTTCTTCAACTCTTTCTAGTAACTAACTGTTCATCATAACCAAGGCTGCATCCACATCACCATATCATGTAGGATTAAAAGTAAAAATTTGAGGATGTTATAAAAACTAAAATATAAAAAATAAAAAGAATAAAAACAAACATTTCTTTAAAATGTTTACCAAGATGTACCATTTCAAATAAGCATAAAATAACTATTCATTTTTAAAAGTGAAGTACCCAGAAGAACCCTGCAGTCTGCCATCTTTAACTTGCTTTTGAGAATATAAATAAGGAATCTGTGAACCATGGGTGGCTTTTTAACTTTACCTACTACCATTTTAAAGGCAAAGCCTAGATATATGAAGGAACAGAAAGCTAAATGTGACTGGCAGTGTCTTTCCAGCTGGAAGATGAAACCAAACTTAAAACAAGGAGCTGGTAATAACTTTCTAAAAAATAAAATACAAAACTAAATACTAAATGACTGTAAACAAAATGAAATTTGAGACTCAAGAACAGAAAGTGCTGACAACAACATCATATACAGAAATTTCTAATTTATTAACAAAGAAAAATGTCAAATTAAAAATTGAAATTAAAAAGAGAAAGGTATTTTGCTATCATATTGTAATACATTAATGTCTGCTTTTTCTTTTCAAAAGCAAACACTCTACAGTAAGATTAGTTAAGGTCTGCTTATTAACCTGAATAACAAACATATTCTATTTTATACATGTTTATGATCCCAGAAATAAAATAGTGTCTTTAGTATAGTCAAATTAAAAGCATTTGAGTTGCGATTACAGAATTAGAATATTTGTCAGAAGACCTCAATGGCAACCAGGGACTTCATGGGGCCAATATTTGCTAGGGTAAAAGTGAACAAAAAATAAACTCTACCATGTCAAAAGAAAACGGAAATAAAAATTATATTTTATTGCATGAAGAAAATACATCATGGAAAAAAGAAAATAATCTCTCCCAAAAGATCTGTAACCACAAGGTACATTTTAAGAAATAAAGCATCATCAAACAGAAATCTGATTTAAAATGTGCCGAAGTCAGTACAGCACCCAAGCTAGCAGGCAACAGCAAATGTATTTCCCCTCTGGAGGAACTCACCTTCATCATAGGCCTGAAATAATTACCACAAAGTTCCAAGGCAAGTGAACACAGTCTAAAAAAAAAAAAAAACCACAAAAACCTCAAAATAAAGCAAAATAAAGCAACATGAGTGATTAAGGGCAAGGGGAAAAAAAGACAAACTCACAAAAGACTTCAGTTATGAAAATTATTAGACAAAGAATATAAAAATAATAAATGGTTAGAATTATGACCAGAAGACAAGCAGATTTGAAAATAAAGTTCCATATATGAAAAATATAACTGATATTAAAAACTAAATCGACAAAGTGGCGTATTAGACATAGTTGAAGTGAATAAACTGCAAGTTAGAACATAAGAAATTTTTCCAAATACAATCAAGCGAAAACAATGAAAGATAAAAGAGATGAACTAAGGAAGAAAAACATAGAAAGTCTACCAGACATGGAATTGGAGTTCCAGAAGATCATAAAATTAATGAGAAAATATTCAAAAGGATTGTAAATAGAAGTTTCCAGAATTCCTGAAAAATGCTAGTCCTCAATGTAGCCTATCTAATGCCAAATAAGAGATGTTAAAATTCATACCCAAAAACATCAGATCAAAAATTCAGAATAGACAGAGATAATATCTTCAAGGAGAAAGAGAGTATCTTCAAAAGATCTTAGAAGGAACCAGAGTTTGGAAAGATAGATTCCCTGACAAAGAAAAAAATGAGCTTGACTGCTTTATTCTCAATGATAATAATAAAATTCAGAAGACAATGAAATGATATTTTTGATACTTCCTTTCAGCAAATTAAATTAAATTAAAAGGATTGTCACAAACAAAAATCTCTCTCTCTCCCTCTTCTCTCTTTCACACATACACACACACACTCAGTAAAGGAAAATTAAAGGATATATGTCAGGCAAAAAAGAAATGATCCCAGATAGAAGGTCTGATAGACAAGAAGAAACTGGGTGGAAAGATAATAATGAATAAAGAACTAAATATAACAGATACTGTATAAAGCAATAAAAGTAATTTCTAACTTGAGAGAGAAAAAACAGGCTAGAACTAAAATACTCAACAACAATGACATGCAAGTTGGAGGAAGGTATCATAAGAGTTAAACAATTCCTAAGAAATAAAATGCCACAGACTGGGTGGCTTGAACAATAGAAATTTATTTTCTCACAGTTCTGGGGGCTAGAAGTCCAAGATCAAGGTACTATCGGGATGCATTTCTGGTGAGGCCTCTCTTCCTGGTTTGTAGACACGTATGATCTTACATGGCCTTCCCTCTGTGTATGCAGAGGGAGAGAGAGATCTCTGTACCTCCACAGAGATCTTATTGGATCAGGGCCCTACCCTTATAGTCTTATTTAATCTTCATTACCTCCTTATAGGCCCTATCTCCAAATATAGTCATATTGGGGATTAGGGCTTCAGCATATGAATTTTGGGGGATACAATTCAATTCCGTAATAGAAGGCAAAGATATTAACTTTAGACTAGAAAGAGTATATATTAAAATTGTCTGGGTAACCACTAAAATAATAGATGTAGAACTTATAGGTAATCTCCTGACCCCCCAAATAAAAACAGTAAAAAAAAAAAAAAAATGGTAGGGGCAGAGGGTCAGTCTATCCAAAAGAAGGCAAGAAAGGAAAGAAGACAAAGAAAAAGCAGAATAGAAAATACATAATAATATGATAAATAAATCCAAGTCAGTCTTCATTCTAAATATAAAGAGACTAAACTCTCCAGTTAAATGCAAAGATCCAGCTATATGCTATTTACAAGAGACACATCTAAAATCATAAGGATATAGATCCAACTTTAAAGCCAACAAGTAGGGAAAGGTGTGTCAAGCCCATCATAATCTATAGGGGACCCTTCATCGTTGTATTACTATCAAAGAAAAAGAGACTTTAATTCAAACAATACTATTAGAGATACAGAAGGTATGACATATGACAAAAGGGTTAATTTCCCACAAAAATATTTAAAAATCTAAACTTGTATGTATCTAATAATAAACCTCAAAAACATATAAAGTAAAAGGTGAATTAACCAGATGAAAATAATAAATCCATAATTATAATCTCTCAGTAATTAAATGATCAAGTAGATAAAAACATGAAGAAGGATAAAGATTTAAATAGCACATTTAAAATTTTCATCTTATAGATACACATGAAACTGCATCCAGTAGCTAGAGAATACACATCGTTTTAAAGCTACACGTGGAACACTTATTTGTAGAGAACACCTGCCATTGTCCATGGAGCTAACCTTAACAAGCATCAAAGAACTGGTAAGATACAGACCACATCCTCTGACCATATCACAAATAGTTTAGAGATCACCTACAACCACAACAAAATATGCTTAGAAATTAGGAAACATGATTCTCATTAACTCATGGATCAAACAAATCATAGAAAATACTTAGGACAGGCACGGTGGCTGATGCCTGGAATCCCCACACTTTGAGAAGCTAAAATGGGAAGATGGCTTGAGCCCATGAGTTCAAGACCAGCCTGGACAACACAGTGAGACTTCATCTCTACAAAAAATAAAAATAAAAAAAATTAGACAGGCATAGTGGCATGCACCTGTAGTCCCAGTTATTCAGGGGGCTGAGGTGAGGAGATCGTTTAAGCCCAGGAGGTCAAGGCTACAGTGAGCCATGATCACACCACTGCACTCCAGCCAGGACAAAGGAATGAGAACCTGTCTTAAAAACAAAGAAAATACTTAGAATTGTATGAAAACATAAGCAGCTAAAGTGATGATTCGAGATTTACACTCTGAACAAAGCAAGACTCACAACTGAGCTAAGCACTCAACCTAAAAAATTAGAATAAAGGCAGAAATAAACCTAAAAACATTGAAAAAAAAGAGTAAAAATGAACATGTTAGAAACAAATATATAAATATTTTCAAAGAAGCAACTTTCGGCTTTGCTGATCATCTCTACTATATATTATACATTATATACAATAAATTAACAAAAAACAAATTACAGCTACAAACAACACTGATGAATCTAAAAAATATAACAGTGAGCAAATGAAGCAAGCATAAAAGTATAAATATTTACAGTAGTAAAATTCCCTTTATGTAATAAAAGGCCAAAAATAACCACACAAAGAGGGTTGATAAAGCAAGAGTTGCCTCCATGTGAGGAATGAGTAGACAGAGGAATTCTAGGTGTATTTCTTAACTTTAGTAGTAAGTCCATGAGTATTCAATTTTTTAAACTTAAAGGTATGCTTCATGCAATTTTAAATGTACAATGTACATCACAATAAACATTCTTTAAAAGTAACATGGCAAAATCAGTTTCTAAAGGATATTCTGAACTTTCCTATAAACAGTGAACATCCACAAGACCTCATGAAAAAAAATTTACCTGTTTAACCTATCCATGCCTGTTACATTCCACACTGAAAATATAGTTCCTTTTATTTGAGATAGTAAAAAGGAAAATGATACTTACTTAAACAAAAAGCATATTTAGCACTTATCCAAGTGCTAAAACAGAGGTAAGTACCAGGTATTAAGGGAGCAGATAACCTAAGCCTGACTTAGAGAAAGAAGGAAAGGAAACTATTCCACAGTGAAGAAAACAATGTCTGGAAAACAGTAACTGTCCCAGAAAGCATATTTGGGAGTACATGCGTGTTTACCTTCTACATCCAGAACCAAATTCTAAAAATGAAAAATGCAAATATAACTGCATTCACTTGGAACATGTTTAATGGCTAAAGATAATTTTAGTTTCAAAAATAAAAGGGAGAATTTCTCTCTAAATTTAGCCATCAGTGTTTAAGTTTCTACCTTTTCCTGACTTTTGCTCATTTTATAGTTCTAGTTTTGTTACTAGAAGTGACCACATGCTTCTGTAGTAGCCAGAGTGATACTCAACTGATTTCAAAAGGTAATTTCTGGCTAAGACGAAGTTTCATATTATTGACAGAAAGAAAGAAAGATACAAACACATAGATAAAATATAGATGTAAACAAACACATGTGCATACACATATACACACAGCTCAAGGCTAAATTTTGTAAATTTAAACCTTCCAAATTTATTTTAAATGTTAAGAGTCCAGGAGTTGGCAGCAAAGTGCAGAAAACAGAATATTTTTACATCTTAGAGATGACTATACAGGAAATGACATTCATTCACTCTATTATTCCACAATTATGTATCAATATGTGTGGGCAAGAGGGCAGATGGCAATACAGTAAACTGAAATTGAAAAAGGGACAGCATTCTCATGGCACACTCAACTACTCTACCTGTTTAGCTGGAGGTAACATTTATAGTTATAACTGAGCACTCATGAATGGTTTTGGATTGAGGCTAAATCTCTATAAAATGGGGTTATTTCATTTGGAAAAAGCACTAGACAATCAGGTCTGGGTTCAAACCCTATCTGACTTGACTCTTTCATATTACACTTACCAAAAAAAAAAAAAACTGTAGAAGATAAACAGGGAAGACAATGATTAGCTCTACAGATTTTATATTGGGAATAATAAAGTGCCTTGAGGGCAATGAAAAATATCAATGCCCTTTTATTCCTCCCCAAAAATTCTATGTCTAGGGTTTTACCCAAAGGGAATAACCATAGGTATGTATAAAAATTGAGCTATAGCCAGGCACGGTGGTTCACACCTGTAATCCCAGCACTTTGGGACGCTGAGGTAGGCAGATCACTAGAGGTCAGGAGTTCAAGACCAGCCTAACCAACATGGTGAAACCCCCATCTACGAAAAATACAAAAATTAGCCAGGCACAGTGATCGGCACCAGTAATCCCAGGTACTCAGGAGGCTGAAGCATGAGAATCGCTTGAACCCGGGAGGCGGAGGTTGCTGTGAGCCGAGATCGCGCCACTGCATTCCAGCCTGGGCAACACGGTGAGACTCTGTCACAAAAAAAAAATAAAAAATAAATAAATAAAAATTTTTTAAAAATTGCACTGTAAGATAGTCATTACTGTACAGCTGAAGAAAAAAATTATATCCCCAATAAACTATGATACATCCATAGAATAATATTATTCAGAATTAAAAATGTTACAGATCATTCCATGACAAGGGAAGTGGTTCATCTTTACACGAAATTACAAAGCTATATATCTACACTAAGGGCCATTTTTAGAAATTAAAATATCATAGTATTTTTCTATATGTATATAAAAATAGATACCAAAATGCTAATAATAGTTATATCTGGGTATAATTCTTCTTTTCTTTTCTTTTTGCTTGTCTGGATTTTCTAAATTTTCTTTTCTTTCTTTTTCTTTTTGAAGACAGGGTCTTTCTCTGTTGTCCTGGCTGGAGTGCAATGGTATGATCACGGCTCACTGCAGCCTCAACCTCCAGGGCTCAAGCAATCCTCCCACTTTAGCTTCGCAAGTAGCTGGGACCACAACCACGTGCCACCATACCTGACTAACTTTTTTTTTTTTTTACTTTTTGGAGAGACGGGGTCTCCTCATATTTCCCAGGCTGGTCTCCAATTCCTGGGATCAAAGAATCCTCCCGCCTCGGCCTCCCAAAGTTCTGGGATTACAGGCATGAATGGCCATGCCTGGCCTCTAAATTTCCTATAATGAACAAGAAAAACTTCTAAAGTAAGAAAAAAATCTATTATATCATGAGGGTGGAGGGTAGGAGTAGGGACAGGATCAGGAAAAATAACTAATGGGTACAAGGCTTAATATTTGGGTGATGAAATAATCTGTACAACAGAGCCCCTCAGCACAAGTTTACCTATGTAACAAACCTGCACTTATACCCCTGAACTTAAATACAAGTTAAAAAAAAAACAGATTTGAAACCTTGAAATAGTAACTATACATGAACTATAGAAACAAAAATGAGAAGTTCCCAATATCACCAAACCTGTAAGTGGGTGCAAATTTATCCAATTTATAGAAAATGGAGAAACCTGATATTCAACTTATACTCGAAACTCCTATCATTCAAGAAATGAATAATGCAAAAGAAGGAAAAACATCTGAAGAAGTGCTGAGTAGGAACAAGCTGAGAGAACAGACTTTCTGCTAGTGATAGACAGTGTGAAACTTTAGAAGGTATCGTGGTTTATGCAGGGTTAATCAAAATGGAGTAGGAAGACTGTGTGCTTCAAATACAGGGGAAATGGAGTAAGTTACAATGATGAAAAGAATGGATCTTACTACAAAAGCCCACTTACCTGAACATTTTTCCCTCTTGAAGACAATGGATGTTATGCCTACACCCCAACTCCCTTTGTATCCACATCCTCCCAGGATCAACTTGAACAAAAAATCCTGCACCAGACAGCCTCAACCAAATACCATACCAAATACATGGGATAGATTTAATTGATTCTCAAATAATTTTCAGTTGAAACTCTTACTCTGATCTAAACTTCAGGCTTCTTTAAATGCCTACAAATGTTCTCTCTCTAAAGTTACCTACGCATTTGTTTTTGTTTTGTTTTATATTGTATAAAGTAGGAAGATGTAAAGATGCCTCATTTTAGGAGAAAGGTAACAGCTAGAATACAGAATCATGTCCCTTCTGCACCAGCCTCCCCAAGGAAGATCCTTAGAAGTTTCCACAGAAAAGAATTTGCCTAAAATATTTTTCAAATGCTTTAATAACATAGACTGAGCTAAGTCAATTGAGAGAAAGAAGTTAACCAAGAAGCTTTGCTCAAAAACCCTAAAAGGTATGTAAAGCTTATAACTATAATAACACATAAAGGTTTAAATTGAAAATGATGTTAAGAATTTGAAAATGATCTAAGAATCAATTAATATATATGCCAGGTGATTGGTACAGTATCTGGCTGGGGGTTTTTCTAAATTGTATCTGGGAAGATGTAATTCTTTAGCATATCACTCAAAGGAAATGCTGATAATAATAACCCTATTATTAATTTCAATAGGTGACCACTAGATTGCCCCCATACCTGCAAATATACCATCTATTCCCCAAGACCCGAGAGCTGTGTTAAAATCCAACTTTTCTAACTCTTCATTATGTTTATAATGAACATGAATGAGCTTTCCTGTGTATTAAGCTAGAGTTTCACGCTTGAGTTTTCTGAATCTTCTGTCATACAAACAGAAGTGGATACAAATCTTGTCCATATTTACTGGTGCAGAGGCTAGAATGCATTTTATCCTATGTGTCAAACTTAAAGCCTGAAACAGCTTGCTGTCAGCTTCAGAAACCATTTTTACAAGCATGGCATACCGCCTCAAGCCAACCAAATCCTAAAGCATGTTGGGCTGCCCACACTTCAAATCATTTGGAATGTTCTCATGTTTTGTGGTTGCAAAAGTACCAATTTTGTGGATCATCTAGTTCAAATTGAGGGCACATCTAACCTTAAACAGAAAATTCCCCGGAAATTGAAACTATAACTGACCAGGATCACATCAGCTCTTAAGATCTATGATCTCAGGCTGGTAGTCAAACATCTCAAATGTTGTGTTTTGAAAGTTGAAGAAATGCAACATAAACTCTGTGAAACTCATTCATGTGTCTTCAAGGAAACACTAAGAACTCATCCTAAATATACATATGTCATAGTTGCAAAAAAAAAAAGGAAAAAGTGCCACCTGCAACAAAGTAAAGGTGATTTGCAGCAAATATAAACACATTTCTGGTAAACAGCTAGCAAATTAAAGAAAAAAAAACCGCCTAACAGATTACTTCATTTCATTTCTAATTTTCATACATAAGCTGAAATATAGCAGCTTCAGCTGTGAAATGTGGTAACAAACATAACAAAGGTGAATGAAATAGTTTTGCTTGTAGTAACTGGAGCACTGTATTTATACATATTGTTTTTCCAAGCATTAATGGGTCCCTCTCTCAAATCAAGTGCTTAAGACATCATTTCACAAATTGGAGTACCAGAACTTCCCCAAGGTTTGCCTCTCATGCCTTTGAGGTCTACTCTCTAAATCCCAGATCTATGAAGAATGTCCTAAAGGTTATTTTTGAAGTATTAAAAGAAGAAAACACTATATTGACAAACTAAATTTTACCTAGAATTTGCCTATTGAAGCTTAAGAAATGCCTGGTTCAATTATCCATTGGCAGGGTAATTCAATCCATTTGAATAGATAAATGTGGTTAGGATATGGTTCCCTGATCCAAGCCTTGTTAAGAGTTCGAGAACATACTGAAAACCAGTGCTTTTTAACTTAACTGATATTGACTAAAATGCTGAAAAGATGACAAGCCCTAGCAATAACTATTTTTAGCTGATATTTTAGACCTACTGTTCCTGGTGCACATGTATTATTAGGTCCCTAAATGGTTTTCATGTTTTTTATATACTCAATAGCATATACAGATATGGTATATATAGTTATACTATATATAGTATGGATACATAAATATAGATATATGTGTGATATGGATATATACATATACAAATCCACCTCTGTGTGTATCATTTCCAAAATACTCATTCACAAAACAATCAACCCAAATTAAATAAACCATAAACAAAATCTCAAGGTGCTCAAGTAACTCTAGGAACTAAGTCACATCCACTTAGGAACACTAAATTCTTACTTTCTTGCTTGCAGTCCAGCAAACTTAAGGTAAAACAGTAACTACATAGGGGTTTTAGTTATGTTTATTTTTCCTAAGCAAATTTTTCTCCAAGAATGTTCAGCTTGCTGAAATTTTCAGAAAATGCTTGAGATGGTGGGTTCTTTTTTTGAGTTTCGGTACTGGTATACTTTACAGCAAAGTGACAAAACTGTACTTAGAGATAAAAATCTATATCCCAAACAAAATTTTACAGTATTACTGGTTATTCTGGGATGATTTTCTTCGAAAACTTCCCATTACAAACAATATGTTTCCTACACTATCCCGTCTGCCTTGGTAGTATACTTTTCACACACAAAATTGTACGTAACGCATATACCAGAAATACGTCAAGGCACTCTTTTATTTAAATAAGCTCCCACATTCTGTTTTTATTGTTCAAAATGATCTGAATGCTCATAATTGATGTAATCAATTATGTCACTAAAATTTTGGCTATGCAACATTTTACAAAATATAGGGACTTTTCATCAGCACCTTAGATTTGTAGTTGGCAATGTGAGTGAATAAGGCAAACAGGAATAGAGGTGTGGCAGAGACCTAGGGGTGTGAGAAAATGGGGCTTCCTTTACCCACGGGACACGTGGGAAAAAAAACTTATCCACGTCTGCAATAAATGTACTTTTATGTTAGGTTTCATTAAATGAAACACGTATTACATACCTCGTCAATGGATTAGAATGTCTGAAGCAGTATCAGCTTATGCAAGAAACATGAGGTTTTTATCCATGATTCTTAGAAACACTACTCCTAGAACTGGTTGAAGGCTTCTTAATCTAAGACATAATGAAAAACAAGCTCACCCAATAAACAAAGAGAAATCCTATTTTAAAAACATATGGTTTAAACTTCATCCTACCTCACTAAAAACCTGCATGCTACTATAGGGATGCCTGTATTCCCTAAGTGTCGAGACTCAGTCTCATCCAAGACTAAACGATCTCTTTGAAAATTTGGGCAAGCCCTGGGGGAAATTTTCATAAAGATATGTTGTTGGATTTTTTTTTTAAGCACTCTGAGCCTCCACAACATATTTTATTATTAAAAAGAAGAATGTTTCCGAAAAGGGGCAGAGGAGAAAAGACTGAAATCAGGGCGACGTTGAAAACCGGCCAAGGATGCAACACACAGCGCCGCAAGCTGAACCACATGGAAGAGGGAACCTCTCTTAACTGTTGGAGCGCGAAAGGACCTTTCGCTCTCGCAAACAAGGTAAATTTCAGCCCTCAAGCAGCGAGACCACCGTGTAAAAGTTCAAGTGGAGCTCATCTCCTTCCTCTCACTCCCAGCACTGAATTCTCAACCAGAACAGCCCAGCAGGAAAGGAGCCGGCATGGGGTGCCCCTCTGCAGCCGACCGTTTTCCTAGAAGGCCTAACCGCTCAGACGGGCAGGGGAGGGGGGCGGGCGGCCCGGGAGAAACCGAGTCCCCGCCGGGTCCCCACCGTGTGGCGCCGACCGAAATAACTCCAGTCCAGCTGCAAAAACCCTCCCGAAAACCCAAGCTTCTCCGGCACAACTTCGGTCTCTCCAGCCTCATTCCTCCCCGCACTCCGCCAAACTGCTCGCCCTGCCCAGCGCAGCGGATGCAAGCGCTCCCCGCCCCGAGCGGCTACCTGTCCCGCGGGCCGGGGATCGCGGGCCGGGGATCCCGAGCCTCACCTCACCTCAAGCGAAGGGCAGCGCGCGGGCGCCCGCGGAAGAGCCCAGGGAGCATGGCTCCATGTAGTCCCTCCCGGAACTTTCCTGACATAGCACTTCTCTCCTCCGCTGCAGAGAACAACGCTGCCAGGCGGAGGAGGAAGGAGGACAACGAAGAGGAGGTGGTGGCGGCGGCGGCGATACAGGCGGCGGTGGCGGGAGCTGGAGCTGAAAGTGAGGAGCATCGCGGACGAGCGCCGCCGCCTCGCGAGCCGCCGAGGGGTTCCCGCCCCCAGGGTAACCAACGCTCCCTCTTAAAGGCGCCGGCCCCGGTTTTAGACCGGGAGGTGAGTGAGAGAAGAGAAAGAGGGAGGAGGCAAGTAAAAAGGGAGGGGGCAAGTAAAGAGGGAGGAGGCAAGTAAAGAGGGAGGAGGCAAGTAGAGACGGAGAGATCCCTGGAGGCCACGCCCGAGCTGCCCCAGGGCGGATCGCCGGCCCCTTTCGACCGCTCCCTGCCCTGAACCCCTCTATGCTCAGGTCGCATCGTTCCTCCGCCTGGGCAAAGGCATCGAGGGTACCGCAAGTGCGCCCACCCGGCACTGGGGCAACCCTCGTCGTTGGCCTGCGCCCTGCACCCCGCGCCTCGCTCCCAGACGGTCGCCCCGCCCCTAATCCCTGGCAGTCCTTTTAGGGTCCTGGTTTCCCGCTCCCACGGGCCCCCAGAGTGCACCTCCAGTGGCTACTGCCCAGTGGATTTGCGTTCCCCGAGGCTACTCGCGTTTCTTCTTTGGTTATTCTTCCTCATTTCCAACACAATGATGAGGGTCTCACGCAGGCGTCCAGAAGACTGAAATAACTAAAAGCCAGCTGGGGCCCCTAGACCAATGCTTGAAGGTGTCCCTGATGTGTGGCATGGGAGAATTGCCAGGTATCCTCCTTTACCCGGTGCTCTGTTCTCTTCCAATGGCCAATCCCCAGCTGGCCTCCCACTGGATTTCTAAAACGATTCACTTTCATCAACACATGGGCTGTAAAGATGCCAAACAACTCAGGAAGACCCCCCAGAAAAAGTATCATCTTGAGACAGTGGAAAATGCTGCTTTCAGTGACAAGTGATATTTTCAGCTATTATCAACATATGTGATCATTACTGAGGCCACAGCCTCAGGTGGTGATGCCCAGGAGGCTCCCAGCATCAGCAGCTATCGTCACCCTAGGAAGAGACCACAGCAGCAGTGGGCATGAGCAGCAGAGGGTTGCTACTGTCCACGGACTTGTTTTTCTACCTCATAGTTCCAACCCTTGCTTCTTGGACCTATGGGACTTCAGTATAGTGTTGTGCAGTTTGTACTCTGCACTGTGTCCTCTGTCTGAGGAGGTGGGCAGGCAATTTGGAGTTAAGATCTAGCCTGGGTTCCAGAGCACCAGTCCTAGCACCAAGCTCGGAGAGAGTGGCATTTCCTCATTCACACAAAGGCACTTGCATATCACTACCCTGAGACTGAACCAGAACATCTCAGTTCTTTGCCTCCTGCCACCTACAGCTGTGAAAGAAGCACTTGTGTTGAACTTGTAGAAGAATAAGGCAAGAGGAGACTATACAAAAGGTTGAAGAAACTTCTGTAACCAGATGGAGACGAAATAAGCCCTGGGCTCAATAAAAGCAGGAGACATGGTCTTGCCTGGACCAAACTTTTAAGATGGGAAAGGAGATTATCAGCGAGCAAAAGTGAAGTCAGGATAGTTGGATGTGGCCAGCACACAACTCAAACTGAGTTAGCAAAACCTGCAGCAAAGGGCATTGGAATTTATTGGTTCATATGTTTATAAATCCCATAAGTAGAACTGGCGCGCGCACACACACACACACACACACACACACACACACGTTCTTAGAAATCCTTTTTACTCCAGATACTCAAAGAGCATCAGGACTCAATTTCTCTCCCTGTCTTCATTGTGCTTTCACTGCACTGGTTTTATTTCTCTAAACAGAGGGAAGACCTACATCTCCAGTCTTAACATCCAACCTCCTTAGCAATTAGTCGCATCAGAAAGAAAGCAAGCTGAAGAATGTCTCACCAGACCCACGTGGATCCTGCGTTCATCTCTGAACTAACCATTGTAACTATGGGATGGAATGCACACTGCCAGGCTGGGGTTATTTGCCTTTATCTACAAAAAGGTCAAGGGAAATAATTGTATGTACCCTTCATATATACCCAAACCACAGGGACCGAGTAGAAAGAAAGAGGTTTCCCAAAGGAAAATTAAAGTGTTGTTAATAAAGAAGGCAAAAGAATGTTGAGTAGATAAAGACTATAAATGCCCACTACAATCCCCATTCCCCAGTATACACACATCACCACCACTGTCACCAAGGGGACTGACCACCTCTCTGCTCCTTTACCAACAGTCTCAGGATCAGAAGAATGAGAATGCTGATGGGTCATGGAGGTGCTAGTAATTGAGCCAACCAGCCACATCCTTTGGCCTCAGAGCCACTGAGAAGATCCTGAGTGACATTTGTGACATTTCACAAACCACCTGCAAACAAACAATATATAAACCATGATTGTATTCAATTATTTTTCCCTAAATTATAAACCTGCCTCCATGTACCTCAAGCCCACATTCATTGTTAGGCCTTTTTAGTTATGCAATCAATTTAATTTGATAAGAGCTCATGGAAATTCCCTGATATATATATATATATTCAACTTGGGGGAAAAAAAAGTGGCCTACGAATAATCACATTTCAGTATCCAAGTGCCAAAGAGCCCAGCTTTGTTTTTAAACTTCAGTAACTTTATCTTTTCAGAGAGAAAGATGTTATCTTTCTCTCTGAAAAGGTGTTTATTTTGCCTACCAAAAAGTGACAAAAAATTTCAGGCTTTTTTTGTCTCACACAAGAACTTTTCTTTTACAGTAGTTGCTAAAAAAAAAAGTTTTGTATTTTTTTCTTCATTTGTGCATTTTATAGAAATCCTCATATATCATAGAAATTTAGACTAATAAACTGGAAGAGACTTTAGAATAACCTAAAACATCCCTTTCATTTCAGAGCTAAAGAAATGAAAGCTCAAAGGTTGACTTGTGTAGGGTACATAGCTGTTTTTTAGTATCTGTGATGTCCCTAACACACATGTGCTTTTGCTAGACATTTCGAAGGATATAGAAGCAAAAGCATAGAATGTAGTCACTGTCCTCAAAGAGACATAACTATCTAAGATATAAGACAATTACAGAACATCACAATATATCATATAATTTAGTGTAAAAAGTGTGGGATGATCTCCGTGTATTAAAAATAGGCATCAGAAAATGAGACACTATGGACTGGAATAGTCTTGGAAACACTTTCTAGCGAGGAAGCAATTAGATGGTCTTTTTTAAATGCAGAGGAAAAAGGAAAGATTTTCCAAGCAAGAAAGCAAACAAAATGAGAAGGCATTGATGGGAAAAAGATCTTGCCACTTGCAGGAACAGAAATGAAACCTGTACTGTCATGGTTTAGAAAAGTTTTTCAAACTCCAAGTCATGAAGTCATTTTACTAAGTTTTGACTAGTATTATTTTAATTAAAATATCAGCATGCATCATACTTAATAAGTATTATTTGTTAAACTTGTGTTTCATTATCATGCGTGTTCTGAGTTATGACATGAATTCAATGTCTTACTTTGGTTAATGTTCACAGTAAGCTCAAAAGCCTCTGGTTCTGAAGCTAAATAGACTAGGTGTGAAACTGTTTTGAGGCAAGACATTGAGCAAATAACATCTCTCCAAGCATCAATTTCTTTATGTGCAAGAGATTTTCTGCACAGTCCTGTGCACACAGTAAGACTTGTAAATGCCACCTCTTATTGACTAGATTGGATATTTTCAACCCTGACTGCACATTAGAATCACCTGAGAGGTTTTTTTTAAAATACCGTTGCCTGGGGCCCATCCTCAGAGACCCAGATTCAATTTCAGGGTTGACTCTGGACATCAGTGAGATTAAAAGCTGCCCAAGTGATTCCAATGTGCAATCATGGCTGAGAACCCTGAGTTGGAGCCATAGAACACATCTAGCACCTGAGGAGCCTGTCTCTTTCCTCAGTGAGTACATTGACTTTGATAAGTTACGTTTCTTCCCATAGATAGCATGCCAGGTAGTCAGCAGATTTCTAACTACTTTCTACTCTGCATTTGCCCCTGAAAAATCTTCAACTGTGGTGTAAACTGCTCATGGTTTACCTCAGTAACACAGCATGAATCCTGAGTCATAATATTTCATGTGTCTCTCCACATGTACATTTTATGGTCAGTTGTAAGCATAGAGTCGTTTCTGGAGGTGTTAAAAGGCAGTAAAAATACCACCAAAAACTCCCTAAGGAAAAGCAGAAAGGCTAGAAGTAAGTGGCATTAGAAATCCATAAGCTGAATAATTAGCAGATGACTCATTAAATTCCAGCTATTTTCATCCTAACTTTTAATAGTGTAGTTTCTAAACATAGTAATTAGTGATGTGCTTTTTGTAATTTTACATTCAGTAATCCCTCTTAAGTGTTCATAACTTACAAACTTTTTCCCCTATTTAATCAATCCCTTTGTGTATGAAAGAGTAAACATTTTCAAATACAACTTGTCCAAGAAATTCAGTATCTAGACCACTGTATTTTGACTGATTGTTTTGTCTATGTAAATCCAGACTTTTCTGAACTTTGGCTGGAGAAAGATAATAAAGGTAGCATAAATTTAAATTCCCCCAAAGAGACATAACAACGAAGATAAAGGGGGAAAAACACTATAAACTACAAGTCTGATAAGCAGATACCATGTACTTCATGATATGACAAAATCAGAAGTACCCAGAACCACTGAGAGGTTTTATGGCCTAAGCAACGGAATCTGAATCTAATCAAGCCTCTAGACCTAACAGGAAATACAGGGGACAGAGGATCAAGTTAGAAATCATCTGAAGAAAGCAATCAATCAAATCCAGAATGTCAAACATTCAATAAGCAAAGTGACCTGATTTCCATATGGAATCAATGACATGAAAAAACAGGGGTCAGACTACAAAAGAGTAAAAGAGATTTAAGGATCATAATTAACTGCAACGTGTGGACTGTATGTCCTGTTTGGTACAAACAACCTGTGAAGATAATCCTTGAAATAATCAGGAAAATCAGATTATGGATTAAGTAATTTGATACTATAGATGAATTATTGTTAATTTTGTTAGATGTGATAATGGCATGACAGTTATATATAAAACAAATATGTCATTGGGGTGCATATTGAAGAATTTCATAATCCTGCAAAAATAATGGAAGGAGGAATAGGTGAAAAAATGACTAATAATTTTTGAAGCTGGTGGATGGAGATTTATTACCTTGTACTAATTATTATTGAGTATATTTGGAAAACTCCCTAATGAAATTTTTAAAAATTTCTATTTGATGTTGAGCTAACCTTTTATTAAAATCTTTCTCTTGGTTTTGCTAATAGAACAGTGATAAACATATGTGGATCTAGGCCTGGTTGTATGTCAAGTATCCTGAGAAACAAGCTTTAAGTTTCAGAAATCTTTTATTATAATATTTTTGACCAATATTTACTGGTTACATTCAAGGCATCTTTCAACTCACTGTACACTGAGGACAAGGCTCTAATGCCAGTCTCTTTGCTAAGGGAACCCTCAGTGGCATAGGATTGGACCAAAAGAGTGACCAGTGAGGGATTCTGTAGGGAGAGCACACTCCGTCCTACACAGCGGCTTCTCTGCGCTGCAGTTGCTTACTCTCCAAGTATCTCTGGGCTTCCATCTTTCTAGGGTGGCTGGTGTCCAGTGACTAGCTCTGGCTGCCAGCTGCCTCTCTGCGCTGCAGTTGCTTACTCTCCAAGTATCTCTGGGCTCCCATCTTTCTCGGGTGGCTGGTGTCCAGTGACTAGCTCTGGCTGCCTCCATCTTGGGATGTCCATGGTGAAGTCTGTGGTTAAGTCCATAGGGACTAAATGGTTGATGCTTCTGTTCTTTTTGTAAGCCTTAGTAGAGACATGGTCTCTTGGCCAGAAACCTTTCCCTCATCCTACCACATCGCACTATTTTCTACCCCTCAAAGAAGACACACAAGTGTGTGCGTGCACACACACTCCAAGAAAACACTGCAGCGGTAAATAAGATTCAGTAGGCCAAGACCAATGAAGGAAGACGTAGAGCAGCCATTCAGCCTGCTTTTAGTCCATGCCTTAGCCTGTTGTTTTTCCAACACTGGTATCTGGACCATTATTGACACATGATTACTTTTAGGGTAGGGTAACTTTTTTTTTTTTTTTTTTTTTTGAGACGAAGTCTGGCTCTGTTGCCCAGGCTAGAGTGCAGTGGCGCTATCTCGGCTCACTGCAAGCTCCACCTCCCGGGTTCAACCACTCTCCTGCCTCAGCCTCCCGACTAGCTGGGACTACAGGCACCCCTGTATTCCCACGCCTGGCTAATTATTTGTATTTTTAGTAGAGACAGGGTTTCACCACGTTAGCCAGAATGGTCTCAATCTCCTGACCTTGTGATCCGCCCGCCTCGGCCTCCCAAAGTGCTGGGATTACAGGTGTGAGCCACTGCTGCCCGGCCAGGGTAGGGTAACTTTTAATATGTCTATTTAATGTATCAAGAATTAGAAAAATAACATATCAATCTCATTTCACGGATATTACTTCTTAGGATGACGCTAGATTTTTTTTTTAATGAGTTCGTTTTTGGCTGGGAGCATTGGCTCATGCCTATAATCCCAACATTTTAGGAGGCCAAGGCAGGAGATCACTTGAGACCAGGAGTTTGAGACCAGGCTGGGCAACATAGTGAGACCCTGTCTCTACTAAAAAGCAATTAATTCAAATAAGTCAATTTAATAAAAATGTTAAGTGAATAAAAGTGCAGATATTTTGAGGATATGCAAAATTCAAGAAAGTTTTTATATATGACTAAGGGTTTTGAAACTCTGCTTTTATCTACAGAAGCAAAAGGAGTCTTCATGGCTCACACACTGCCAGCCCAGTTCTGCAGGGGCTTAACTAGAAAGACAAGGTAGTTAAGTAAACGCTTCGGCATTTGGAAATCACGAATTATACTTCTAATTCCACCATGACATAGGGAACTTCCATTCCTTCTTGGGAAAAATTCTGGTAGTGGTTGTTCAGCTAATCATCCCTTCTCTCTCCCTCAACCCTTTCTCATATAAGTTAGAAATAGTTCTTTATTTTTCTCTTCCTCTAGTGGACATTGTTATTATCTCTGACTTACCAAAACAGGGATTCCCAAATTAATTTTTTATGTTTCATAATTTTATTCTCTTTTCTTTCTCTCTCCATGTGGCTAATACCTTTAGTCCTCTCTTATAGGCAGTCCTTTCTGCTGGTCTCTGCCTTGCTGTAACCATGCATGCCTTTCTTAAAGTTTCAGATGACTTCTCACTGTTCTGCAGGTACTATACAGATCCTGTAAAGAAGCCTTCCTGATTTGAGAAAAAGAATTACACATTAACTCCTTGTGGCTTCCCTTGGCTGGCTATGCTATAGTCTCAGAGCTTGAAGATCAGTTCTTTGAATCAACTCAGTCAGACAAAAATAAAGAAGAAGAAAGAATAATGATCAAAACCTCCAAAAAATATGGTGTTATATAAAAAGACTGAATTTTTGACTCATTGTTATTCCTGAAAGAGAGGGAGAATAAGCAAGCAACTTGGAAATACATACTAGAGGATATTGTCCACAAAAATTTATCCAACCTTGCTAGAGAGCCCAACATTCAAAATCACAAAATGCAGAGAAACCCTGAGAGTTACTATATAAGATGACCATCCCTAAGACATATAATCATCAGATTTCCCAAGGTCGTCATGAAAGAAAAAATATTATAGGCAGCAAAGAAGAGGCTGATCACCTACAAAGAGAACCCCAATAGGCTAACAGCAGATCTTTCAGCAGAGGAGGCCTATATTCAGCATTCTTAAAAAAAAAAAAAAAAAAAAAAGGAAATTCCAACCAAGAATTTTATGTCCAGCCAAACTAAGTTTCATAAGCAAATGAAAAATAAGATCCTCTTCAGACAAGCAAATGCTACAGGAATTTGTTACCACCAGACCTGCCCTGCAAGAGGTCCTTAAGGGAGTGCTAAATATGGAAATAAAAGACCATTACCAGCCACCACAAAAACATACTTAAGTACATAGACCACTGACACTATAAAGCAACTACACAGTGAAGTCTGCATAATAACCAGCTAACATCATGATGACAGGATCAAATCTATACATATCAGTATCAACCTTGGATGTAAAGGGGCTAAAGGCCCAAATAAAAAGTCACAGAGTGGCAAGTTAGATAAAGAAGCAAGACCTAACTACATGTGGTCTTCAAGAGACCTATCTCACATGCAGTGACACCCATAGACTCAAAGTAAAGGGTTGGAGAAAAATCTACCAAGCAAACAGAAAACAATAAAAGCAGGGTTTGCTATTCTAATTTTGGAAAAAACAGGCTTTAAATCAACACCAATCACAAAAGACCAAGAAGGGCATTACATAATGCTACAGTGTTCAATTCAACAAGAAAATGTGACTATCTGGTTGTTATAAATATATATGCACCCAACATAGGAGCATTCAGATGTATAAATCATGTTCTTAGAGATCTATGAAAAAACTTAGATAACTACACAATAATAGTGGGAGACTTCAACACCCCACTGACAGCATTAGATCATCAAGGTAGAAAATTAACAAAGATATTTAGGACTTGAACTTGACACTGGACCAAATAAACCTAACAGACATCTACAGAACTATCCACCCAAAAAACAACAGACTATATCTTCTACTCATGTGCACATGGCACATACTCAAATCAACCACACAATTAGCCCA
Organism: Homo sapiens; assembly: GCF_000001405.40. Taxonomy (NCBI): domain Eukaryota; kingdom Metazoa; phylum Chordata; class Mammalia; order Primates; family Hominidae; genus Homo; species Homo sapiens. The sequence continues at coordinate 96,846,150 of NC_000006.12, forward strand.
TAAAACAAGTCTTGACAATTTCAAAAAAACCAAAATCATACCAACCACTCTCTTGGACCACAGCACTATAAAAACAGAATCAATACTAAGAAAATAACTCAAAACCATACAATTGCATTGAAATTAAACAACTTGCTCCTGAATTACTTTTGGGTAAACAAGAAAATTAAAGCAGAAATCAATAAGTTCTTTGAAACTAATAAAAACAAATACCAGAATCTCAGGGACACGACTAAAGCAGTGTTAACAGAAAAGTCTGTAGTACTAAAGGCCCACATTAAAAACATGGAAAAATCTCAAATTAACAATCTAACATCCCACCTAAAGGAACTAGAAAAACAAGAGCAAACCAACCCCAAAGCTAGCAGAAGACAAGACATAACCAAAAACAGAGCTACACTGAATGAAATATAGAGATGTGAAAAACATTCAAAAGATCAATGAAAGTAGAAATTTGTTCTTGGAAAGAATACATAAGATTGATAGACTGCTAGCTAGACCAGTAAAGAAAAAAGAAGATCCAAACAAACATAATGAGAAATGACAAGGGGGACATTACCACTGACCCCACAGAAATACAGAAAGTTCTCAAAGGCTGTTACAAACACTTCTATGTGAAAAAAAAAAAAAGAAACTTAAAAAACCTACAAGAAATCGATAAATTTCTGGAAAGATATACCGCCCAAGATTTTACCAGGAAGAAACTGAAACCCTGAACAGACCAATAACAAGATCTGACAAGAACTTGTATTTCTGGTTGGTAGTAATAAAAAGCCTACCCTACCAACCAGAAAAAGCCCAGGACCAGGGAGATTCACAGCCAAATTCTACCAGCTATATGAAGAAGAGCTGGTACAATTCCTACTGAAACTATTCCAAAACATTGAGGAAGAGGGACTCCTCTCTTATGCATTCTATGAAGCCAACATCATCCCAATACCAAAACCTGGTAGAAACACACACACAAAGAAGAAAATTTCGGGTCAATGTTCTTGATGAACATAGATGCAAAAATCCTCAACAAAATACTAGCAAACCAAATCTAACACCACAACAAAAAGTTAATCCACCACAATCCAGTAGGTTTTATCCCTGGTATGCAAGGTTGGTTCAACATATGCAAATCAATAAATGTGATTTATCACGTAAAGAAAACTAAAAACAAAAACTACATGATCATCTCAACAGATGCAGAAAAATGTTTCCATAAAATTCAACATTCCTTCACGTTAAAAACCCTCAACAAGCTAGGCATTGAAGGAACATACCTCAAAACAATAATAACTGTCTATGACAAACCCACACCCAGCATCATACTGAATGGGCAAAAGCTGGAAGCATTCCCCTTGAGAACTGGAACAAGACAAGGATGCCCACTCTCACCATTCCTATTCAACAGAGTACTTGAAGTCCTAGCCAGAGCAGTCAGGCAACAGAAAGAAGTAAAAGGTATCTAAATAGGAAGAAAAGAAGTCTCCATTTGCAAATGGATATGACTGTATATCTAGAAAACCTCACATGGTCTCTGCCCAAAATCTGCTAGATCTCATAAACAACTTCAGCAGTTTCAGGATGCAAAATCAATATACAAAAATCAGTAGCATTTCTATACACCAACAATGCCCAAGCTGATAGCCAAATCAAGAATGCAATCCCATTCACACGAGCCACAAAAAGAATAAAACACCTAGGAATACAGCTAACCAGGGAAGTGAAAGATATCTACAATGAGAATTACAAACCACTGCTGAAAGAAATCAAATGGAAAAACATACCATGCTCATGGATAGGAAAAGTCAATATTGTAAAAATGGCCATACTTCTCAAAGCAATTTATGCTATTTCTATCAAACTACCAATAACATTTTGCACAGAATTAGAAAAAAATTATTCTAAAATTCATATGGAACCAAAAAAGGGCCTGAATAGCCAAAGCAATCCTCAGCAAAAGGAACAAAGCTGGAGGCATCACATTACATGACTTTATACTACAAGGCTACAGTAACCAAAACAGCATGGTACTGGTAGAAAAATAGATACATAGACCAATAAAACAGAATAGAGAGGCCAGAAATAATGCCACACACCTAAGACATCTAATCTTTGACAAAGCTGACAAAAACAAACAATTAGCAAAAAAAAGGAAAGCCCTCATTCAGTAAATGGTGCTGGGATAACTAGCTAACCACATGCAAAAGATTGACACTGGACCCCTTCCTTACACTATATACAAACACCAACTCAAGATGGCTTAAAGATTTACATGTAAAACCTAAAACTACAAAAACCCTAGAAGATAGCCTAGGAAATACCATTCTTGACATAGGTCTTGGCAAACATTTCATGTCAAAGACGCCAAATGCAATTGCAACAAAAGTGAAAACTGACAAATGGGACCTAATTAAAGTGCTTCTGCACAGCAAAAGAAACTATCAACATAGTAAATAGACAACCTATAGAATGGGAGAAAATATTTTCAAACTATGCATCCCACAAAGGTCTAATATCCAGAATCTATAAGAAACTTAAAGTAACAAGCAAAAAAACAAACAACCCCATTAAAATGTGGGCAAAGGACATGAACAGATATGAACACCTTTCAAAAGAAGACATGCATGACGCCAAGAAGCATATGAAAAAAGGTGGCTGGGCGTGGTGGCTCATGCCTATAATGCTAGCACTTTGGTAGGCTGAGGCGGATGGATCGCTTGAGCTCAGAAGTTTATGACCAGCCTGAGCAACATGATGAAACTCCATCTCTACAAAAAAATACAAAAATTAGCTGGGGGCCGGGCGCAGTGACTCACGCCTGTAATTCTAACACTTTGGGAGGCCGAGGCGGGTATATTGCCTGAACTCAGGGATTCGAGACCAGCCTGGGTAACACGGTGAAACCCCGTCTCTACTAAAAATACAAAAAATTAGCCGGGCGTGGCGGCATGCGCCTGTAATCCCAGCTACACGGGAGGCTGACGCAGGAGAATTGCTAGAACCCAGGAGGCGGAAGTTGCAGTGAGCCGAGATCATGCCACTGCACTCCAGCCTGGAGTGAGATTCGGTGTCAAAAAAAAAAAAAAAAAAAAAAAAGTGAGCTGGGCATGGTGGTGAGTGCCTGTAAGTCCTAGCTACTCTGGAGGCTGAAGTGGAATGATCAGCTGAGCCCAGGAAGCAGAGGTTGCAGTGAGCCAAAATCATGCCACTGCACTGTAGCCTGTGTGGCAGAGCTAGTTCCTGTATCAAAAATATATAAATAAATAGAAGAAAAAGAAAACATGCTCGACATCACTAATTATTAGAGAAATACAAATCAAACTACAATGAGGTACCATCTTATACCAGTCAGAATGGCTATTATTAAAAAGCCAGAAAATAACAGATCCTAGTGAGGCTGCAGGGAAGAGGGAATGCTTATACACTGCTGGTGGGAATGTAAATTAGTTCAGCCACTGTGGAAAGCAGTTTGGTTATTCCTCAAAGAACTTAAAACAGAGAAATCTCATTATTGAATATATACCCAAAGAAATAAAATCATTCTACCATAAAGACACATGCACGTGTATGTTCATCACAGCACTATTCATCATAGCAAAGACATGGAATCAATCTAAATGCCCATCAACAATAGACTGAATATAGAAAAGGTGGTGTATATAAACCATGGAATACTACTCAGCCATGAAAAAGAATGAGATCATGTTCTTTGCAGCAACCATGGATGAAGCTGGAGGCCATTATCCTAAGCAAACGAACATGGGAACAGAAAATCAAATACCACATTGTTTTCACTTTTAAGTGGGAGCTAAACATTGAGTATACATGGGCACAAAGTAGGGAACAATAGCCACTGGGGCCTACTTCAGGGTGGAGGTTGAGAGGAGGGTGAGGATCAGAAAACTACCTGTCAGGAATCATGCTTATCACCTGCATGATGAAATAATCTGCACACCAAACCCCTGTGACATGCAATTAACATATGTAACAAACCTGCATGTGTACCCCTGAATCTAAAATAAAAGGTTTTTTTTTTTTTTCCACAGATCAAAACTAAAAGCTCTTCTTAGGTTTTTCTCTGGATACATTATACGTATCTTTTCTTTTTGAACTAGAGCCTTATAGCTTTGCAAAGTAACTTTAAAGCCAGATCTACTCCCTTTCATCTACACCAACCTCTCTATTATCAACAAGCAGAATCTTGGTGAGGTAAGTTTTAGAATTAAACAGTAATTTTTCTTTTTAAAATTAAGTCATAAATTATTAACATTAAAGGAGTAGATCTCCAAACACAGAGAGGAAGGACAATGTGAAATACTCATAGATGAGAACAATATTATCATTGTTTAGAATTTCAAAGTTATTGCACATCTGTCTTAGTCACTAAAGACACTTCTGCACCAATCCTTCAGTCATATATTCAGGGCTAAGCACCACTGGAATTCAGCAGTCAAAACTCCTGCCTTCAGGAGCTTACTTTCAGATGAGACACAAAATAAATAAGTAAAATATATGGCACATTGGGGGATGAAAATTACTATGAAGAAAAAGAAAGTAGGGAAAAGACAGCAAGAATTTTGGAGGAGAATTTAACAATAAAATCACCAGAGTGGGCCGGGTGCGGTGGCTTACGCCTCTAAATCCCAGCACTTTGGGAGGCCGAGACGGGTGGATCACGAGGTTACGAGATCGAGACCATCCTGGCTAACACGGTGAAACCCCATCTCTACTAAAAAAAAAATACAAAAAATTAGCCGGGCGTGGTGGCGGGCGCCTGTAGTCCCAGCTACTGGGAAGGCTGAGGCAGGAGAATGGCGTGAACCCGGGAGGCGGAGCTTGCAGTGAGCCGAGATGACGCCACGGCACTCCAGCCTGGGCGACAGAGCGAAACTCCGTATCAAAAAAAAAAAAAAAAAAAAAAATCACTAGAGTGCTCAGGGAAATGCATTTCTGGGGAAAAGTGTTCCAAGCAGGAGGAACAGCAAAGACAAAGCCTCTGGGCTGCTAGCCTGGAATAAAGAACAGCAGAGGCCGGGTGGCTCACGCCTGTAATCCCAGCACTTTGGGAGGCCGAGGCGGGCGGATCACGAGGTCAGGAGATCGAGACCATCCCGGCTAAAAACGGTGAAACCCCGTCTCTACTAAAAATACAAAAAATTAGCCGGGCATCGTGGCGGGCGCCTGTAGTCCCAGCTACTTGGGAGGCTGAGGCAGGAGAATGGCGTGAACCCGGGAGGCGGAGCTTGCAGTGAGCCGAGATCCCGCCACTGCACTCCAGCCTGGGCGACAGAGTGAGACTCCGTCTCAAAAAAAAAAAAAAAGAACAGCAGAGAGACCTGTGTGGCTGGAGAAAGGGGAAGAGGAGTAGATGAGGGCAATGTTTCTTAAAGTGAGTTCCAATGGAACCTTATTCCTGTTCTCACTTTGGGAAATGATGTACTCTGTTGCCCTTGGAGAATTACAATATCATTCACACATTAAATGCTCTAAAAAATCCTGCCGAAGGCAACCCATTTCATGTTGATATCCCAACATTTCTCAGTTTTTCTGGACCACAAATCTCTTATGCAGAGATCACCTGTTTTTTGGAATACACAGTTTGAGAAAGATGCTTCTGGTTTATGAAATCTTAGAAAGGAGATCAAGTGTCTTACTCTTCTTTGTATCTGGTTAAAAATATTCTCAGTAAATATTTGTGGAATGGATCAACCTCATTAAGCCACATTTATCTAATGCACACTGTCCTTGTACCTTAAAGGAAGAAGTCAACCCGATTATTTCTAGTAGGTCGTGTTCCTGTGGGCAGTGGGTTCACTTTCAGCCTTCTGTGTAAACCTAGACATTCTCCTCTGCTCACGTCTCTGTCCTCTCCTGGGTAAGTTAGGAAGCCCGGCAGCCTAAATATACTGAGTTCAAGTACTTAGCAGATTCTTCTCTTGCTTAGCCAATTCTATTTTTACTGCAGTCTTGCCCTGAAGTACAATACTGCTCCCAGTTATTAATAAATGAATCTAGTCATCATTTCCTGATTGGTTTAGTCCCTGTATATACCGCTCTATGAGCAAGGGAACCCCAAAGGTGAAAGGGATAAGTAGCGGAACTTGGGGAAACTTCGCGCAAACAACAGTCATCCCTCATTCATTTAAAACATGCGTAACAGTTAACTTACTTACACAAGATATCTACATTTTAAATATTACTAATTTATAATAAAACAAACAGTGTTTTCAAATAGCCTATGGAGTATACATACTGTTTTTATTTCTAAAGATACTACCATAGCATTTGTTCCTGAATATTTAAGAAATTCATAAAATAACAGATAATAAGTCCTGAAGAATGATCTCTTGTTAAAATAGTGCTGTGGCTTGGATATCCTTTGTCCCCACCAAAACTCATGTTGAGGTTTGACCCCCCAGTGTAGGGAGGTGGGACCTAATGGGAGGTGCTTGAGTCATGGGGGCAGATCTTTTATAAATGGTTTGATGCCATTCTCTCTCTGGCAATACTGGATTAGTTCTCACAGCAATAAATGACTATGTTGAAAGCAGGTTGTTATAAAGCCAGGGCACACCTCAGGTTTTGCCTCTTCACATGTGTCTGCTTTCTTTTTAACTTTTGCTGTGTCATGATGCAGCACAGAAGCCCTCACCAGAGGCTTAGTAGATGCTGGCACCATGCGCCTTGAACTTGCCAGCCTGCGGAACTGTGAGCTAAATAAACCTCTTTTCTTTACAAACTACCTAGTGTCAGTATTCTGTTGTAGCGACAAAGAACTAAGACAGACAGCCATTAACTCCATGAACATTCTTAAAGCATCTAGGGCTAGACCATGGCTCCTTAACTAACAACTGGTTAATTATTTACTAAGACTATACTATTGTCAACTACCAAGGGAATCCATGTTCCCACAGGGAACTGCACTCTTCAGCTGGTGTCATATATACATAGCTTATAAGAAAAGCATCAATTAGTACAAACTTCAGTAGAAAATATCATAGATATTTCTGAGTGTACAGATATTTCCTGAGTGTACAGCATCCACCCCCTCCCCCCTTCTATGCAGTTTTGCTTTCTGCAGTTTCTGTTACCTGCGGTCAACTGTGGTTTGAAAATATTAAATGGAGAATTCTAGAAATAAACAATTTATGAGTCTTAAGTTGCAAGCTGTTCTAAGTAGTATGATGAAATCTTGCACCATCTGCTCCATCCCACCCAGGATGTGAATAATTTCTTTGTCCAGTGTATCCACACTGTCTATACTATCTGCCCACTAGTCACTTAGAAGCCATATTGGTTATTAGATCGACTGTGGTGGTATTGCAGTGCTTGTGTTCAAGTAATCCTTATTTTACTTAATAACAATTGTCCCAAATGGGCAAGAGGAGTGATGCTGGTATATTTTTGCAATTATTATTAGTTACTGTTGTTAACCTCTTACTGTGCCTAAATTAAACTTTATCACAGGTATGTATGTATAGGAAAAAACAGTATATATAGGGTTCAATACTATCTACAGTTTCAGGCATCCACTGGTGGTCTTGGAACATACCTCCTACAGATAAAGGGAATTACCATACCTGTTCTCACTACACTTAATACGATTGGAAAAATAAACACAGAAGGGATCCACAGTCCTCCTGTACACTTTTGAAATGAGATGCACTTGACCCAAGATTTTATCTACCATCTTGTCTTCATAAATACCTCCTCTTATTGGTGGGGCACTCTGGCATTTGGAGTCTCCAGGAATTAAGAACCACGATTCAATAACCCCCAGCAGGTCTGAATATTTACTTCCTCATTGTACAGTCACACCTTTAAATGGACAAGTTCCTGTAGGGAAAGCTTTGAGGAAGCTTCACAGTACCAACATATACCTGAGGCCATAGTGCAGAGCCTTTAGAACCTGGCTTTTCCCTCTTCAAAAGTGAAAGGTGTATGAACTATCTTAAACTTGGAAACTAGGAATGATCATGCATCTCTAACACAGTGACTGAAGTTGGGCCTCTGCCACCAAGCCTGAGATTTTTTTGCCTATATTTTTCAAGCAGTGTCTTAGAGGTTGTCCATTTATTTTATTTCTAGAAAATCCATGATCCATTAGTCATCACTGTAGAACTTTATAGATAAAAATACTGTAATCACTATTCTGTTCTTATAGCTTATTGTGGTATTTGTTTCCATCTTGTCCCTAAAGCTTAAATTCCACCACCCAGTTTCTACCCCTCTGGGATTCCATTTTTGTTACTGATATCAGGGGACCCAATTCCAGTACAGCATCTTCTACCATCATTTGTGTTTTACTAAGGACAACCACCAGGGAGCTTATGAAGGATGACAATACAACCTGATCCATGCATTTCTTAATGCCATGGTGACAAAAAAATCCTCCAGGCCCAGAAGTGGATGGCAGCAAGTGGAAATTTGGGACATACTCCTTTTGTTGGTGAGTTGTAATACTGAAGCGCATATTACAGGAAAAAGCTGAACATTCTCTTAGCCCAGAGCAACAAACACATGAAAGTCAGAAGTCTCATTAATATAACATTAATCTTTTTTTCCAGTGAGGTAAAATAAGGCATAAATGCACATAATTATTGCCAGCTGATCTAAAGTCAATAAAACATTCTGCTTAAGTGTTTTTCTTACAGAAAAAAATCCTTCAGGCCCCATGGAAGGATATGGTTAGGGGATAGCTGTGAATATTGCATGCACTAGAAGCATTTCAATAATTCCATCTTCCTTAGCCTTCAGAACCCTTTCCTCCATAGCTCTAGTTTTCAAAGTGTAGTTCTAGGACCAGCAATATTGGCATCACCTGGGCACTTGTTAGAAATTCAACTTCTTGGACCTCAGTTTGACCTACTAAATCAGAAACTTTAGGGTAGATTCCAGAAATCTGTATTTTAAGAAGCTTTCCCAAGATTCTGTTGCATACCGAAGTTTGAGAACCAGTACTGTACAGCATGACAGGGAAGATCTATCATTTATACTTCATTAATGGTAGGCTTTTATTGAATCCAGGCTTTCACTGGCCAGTATAGCAGGCTATCGATGCCATTAAAAGTACTTGTACCAGCACATTAAATTCAAAATTCCATGTGAGCACACCTATGGCAGTAAATTTAATTCAATCAAGCCTTATAGTTAATCCTCTTTGAATTAGACCATTAGAATTCTCTCCCATACATGCCCCTCGCACTTTTGACAATATTTGGTGCCGTCTTGTAACTCTTTTAAAGACTATGTCCTGACATATTTGAAATCTAGATCCTGTTAGGATATAAATCATAAATTAACCCAGAGGCAATAAAATATAGTGAGGAGATAGGTCCTGAGAAGAATCAGTGTCACCTTGTGAGATTGCTGCCCAAGATATACTTGTGGAAAGACTTCAATTCACAGGAAAGCTGACTTCCTGAAGGCAGGAGAGGGTTCCTTGGACAAGAGAGATTCTCATCATTTGGGATATCAGATTTCTCAGCTTCACACATGTCTGCCCAAATATCTTCATCCACTCCTTTCCAGTAGTGCCTTTAATTTACTATAAGAGATCTAGTAGAAATGAGCATTTCACTGATGTTCCAGTTCTGAAGAACTTCCAATCAGGCCCAAGGCTTGGGGCTCAGCCATATCTACCTTGCAACTTACAGGAGAGGAGGGACTCTTTCAAAGCTGCCATGGAGGCTCTTTTGATTCTCCATGTGTGTTCTCAACTAAACATTCATAGTTTTCATTTCTTCTTTCTCTTGTTGTAGATCATTTAAATCAGAAGCCAGCTGATGTCACTATATTATCATTCTTGTTTGTTTTTGTTTGTGTAAACATGGCTTTATTTCACTGTTACCCTTGAAGGATATTTTCCTCAAATATCCTTGATGGTATATAATTCTTTTTTAAAATTTTAATAGTTATTGGGGAACAGGTGGTTTTTGGTTACATGGATAAGTTATTTAGTGGTGATTTCTGAGATTTTCGTGCACCCATCACCCAGTGTACACTGTACCCAGTATGCAGTCTTTTATCCCTCAGCTCCCTCCCACCCTTCCCTCCCAAGTCCCCAAGTTCATTATATCATTCTTATTCCTTTGTGTCCCCATAGCTTAGCTCCCACTTACAAGTGAGAACGTACAATATTTGGTTTTTAATTCCGGAGTTACTTCATTTAGAATAATGGCCTCCAGCTCCATCCAAGTTGTTGCAAGGGCCATTATTTCATTCCATTTTTTGGCTGAGTAGTATTCCATAGCATATATATACACCACATTTCCTTTATCCACTCATTGGGTGATGGGCATTAGGTTGGTTAATATTTCTGCAATTGCAAATTGTGCTGCTATAAACATGCATGTACATGTATGTCTTTTTCATATACTGACTTCTTTTCCTTTGGATAGATACCCAGAAGCGGGATTCCTGGATCAAATGGTAGTTCTACTTTTAGTTCTTTAAGGAATCTCCATACTGTCTTCCATAGTGGTTTTACTAGTTTATATTCCAGCAGTGTGAAAGCATTCCCTTTTCACCACATCCATGGCAGCATCTAAAGTTTAAATTTTCTACTATTATTACAGTGTGGTAGTTAACTTTTGATTATAATTATTATTGACTCGTAGTGAGCACTCATTCAGGCCCATTATCCCTTTGCCACCATCTCTGTTAAACATCCATGCCTAGTGGCACTGGGACATCTGCTGGGAAAAAGTTCCCTTTACACTGAAATATCCCAAGAGTATTAAGGAAGGGCTCTCCTGTGTCCCCTACTCTATCCCCCATCAAACACTGTTTGCTTCTGAGAGGGAGGAAGAGGGCTGCAGAGACAGAATGCTGCACAGAACTCTACTTCTCTCCCATCTCTATGACTCAATATTAGAACTCTTTTATCTTGTTGGCAGAACAATTTATGTGCCTGTTCCAGACCTTCATGCCAAGACTGTACACTTCAAACTTCAAAGCTTAAAAAAAAATAGCACATCCTACATAAAGAATTTTCTTCGTTCTGGCTTCCAATTTCTGGAAGATCTGCTTACTCTGATTTCCCACACAAGAGCAGTGGTATCAGCCTCAGGGGGTATATTCTGACAGCCTAGATGAGTGAGCACATCCAGACACCAGGTGAAATCTCGTTGAGCCAAAAAAGCCTGGGCCACAAGTTATCCTGTTATTAACTGGCTCCTTAAACACCCTCATGCTCCACTTGTAACCCATCTTCAAGACCTACATTCACATGAATTTTCCTAAAAAACAGGACATCAACTCTTCTCAAAGAAAAATTGAGGGCTTGAGTTTTAAAATTGAACAGTCAAAGCCTTTTATATCTGTATTCCTGGTGAAGAGTCTGCTGTTAAACCATGTACTGTCCTGTTTATTGGTTATGTGTATCACTCTATTCAGTATCGTTACCCTTGGTACCAATAAAACAAAATTATTTCATTCAGAGTCACTCCTGGCAATTTTAACTTAGCATCCTTGGATATTTTGTTGTTTTGGCTGTTGTCTTCATATTTCTAATCCCATTAGAAGTTATGATTAAGTGTGCCTGTCTAGCTTCTATTTCTCTTTTTTTATAACCATGTCACTTAGAGTGGTTTTACTGATATATTTCTCCCAGTGAAATTTAATTATATGGGCTCAAGTTTACAGTTTAGAAAAAGCTCATCTGAGTAGCTAACTTCGGCCGAACTACTATGGGAGTCATAAATCCCTACAGCTTGGGCTAAAATCCTTAGATTAGGAGGCGGGAGAAAAATCATTGGTTCCATTTTTATTCATGCAGTTTGTACCTGATTGTGTCAAGTCTACAATACTTAAAATTGCAAGATAGTAGGGATCTATTGTGTTTGAAAGTTAAGCTGTAATGATTTTGACTTTGTTTCATTTAACACAACAAGCATTTATTTGACACTTGTACTCTAAGGGATATCAAAGTGAGTAAAACAGGATGGATGCTCTTCCAAGAGGGAAGTTTTCTTTTAAAGCAGATAGAAGCAAGTGCTATAGAGTAATAAAACCAAATATGGTGGTAGGGTGGAAGAGGAAAAGCTTCATTTCAACTCAGGGGTCTTAGAAGGCTTTTAGGAGGAAAGAAGATTTGACCTGGCCCTTAAAGAATTGACAAGCACTTCACAGGAAGATATGGACCTGGGACAAAAATATACTTCAACAAAGACAAAGAGTTAATAGTCTTCATATAGCAGCACATATATATTACCAGGCAATTCATAATATATGTCAAAAATAAAGTATCAGTGTCTTTAATATATAGTAAGGTTATATGATGTGTTTAAAAAACCCTAAAACCTCCAATATAAAAATGAATAAAAGACATATTTACAGAAGAAATGTATGTGACTACTAAACATGAAATATGTTCAAGCTCACAAGTCATCAAAGAAATACAAGTTCAAACAATTGCAATTTTTAAACCATATGAAATCTAGGAATCTGTTATGAGGAAATAATTGAAGTAGAGCCAAGGTTTATGTGCAATGGTTTCCAACATAAAATTATTCTTTAAAAAGCAGATTGGTTAAATAAGTTATGATATACATTTCTGATAGAATATGCAGTTGATGTAGTTTGGCTCTGTCCCCACCCAAATCTCATCTTGAATTCCCACGTGTTTTAGGAGGTACCTGGTGGGAGGTAATTGAATCATGAGGGCGGGTCTTTCCCATGCTGTTCTCATGATAGTGAATAAGTCTCATAAGATCTGATGGTTTTAAAAATGGGAGTTTCTGGCTGGGCGTGGTGGCTCACGTCTGTAATCCCAACATTGTCGGAGGCCGAGGGGGATGGATCAAGAGGTCAGGAGATCGAGACTATCCTGGCCAACATGGTGAAACCCCGTCTCTACCAAAAACACAAAAATTAGCTGGGCTTTGTGGCACGTGCCTGTAATCCCAGCTACTTGGGAGGCTGAGGCAGGAGAATCACTTGAACCAGAGAGTCAGAGGTCGCAGTGAGCAGAGATTGTGCCACTGCACTTCAGCCTGGTGACAGAGCAAGACTCCATCTCAAAAAAAAAAAAGGGAGTTTCCCTACACAAGCCCTCTTCTCTTGTCCGCCACCATGTGAGATGTGCCTTTCACCTTCCGCCATGATTGTGAAACCACCCCCAGACACGTGGAACTGTGAGTGCATTAAACCTCTTTCTTTTATAAGTTGCCCAGTATTGGTTTTGTCTTTATCAGCAGCATGAAAACAGACTAATACAGTAAATGGGTACCAGTGGAGTGGGGTGTTGCTGAAAACATACCAAAAATGTGGAAGCGACTTTGGAACTGGGTAACAGACAGAGGTTGGAAGAGTTCAGAGGGCTCAGAAGAAAACAGGAAAATGTGGGAAAGTTTGGACTTTCCTGGAGACCTTGTGAATGACTTTGACAAAAACGCTGATAGTCATATGAATAAGGTCTAGGCTGAGGTGGTCTCAGATGGAGATGAGGAACTTCTTGGGAGCTGGAGCAAAGGTGACTCTTGTTATGTTTTAGCAAAGAGACTGATGGCATTTTGCCCCTGCCCTAGAGATTTGTGGAACTTTGAACTTGAGAGAGATGATTTAGGGTATCTGGTGGAAGAAATTTCTAAGCAGCAAAGCATTCAAGAGGTGACTTGGGTGCTATTAAAGGCATTCAGTTTCAAAAGGGAAACAGATCATAAAAGTTTGGAAAATTTGCAGCCTGACAATGCAATAGAAAAGAAAATCCCATTTTCTGAGGAGAAATTCAAGCCAGCTGCAGAAATTTGCGTAAGTAAGGAGGAGCCGAATGTTAATCACCAAGACAATGAGGAAAATTTCTCCAGGGCATGTCAGAGATTTTGTGGCAGCCCCTTCCATCACAGGCCCAGAGGCCTAGGAGGAAAAAGAGGTTTCGTGGACTGAGCTCAGGGCCCCCATGCTGTGTGCAGCCGAGGGACTTGGTGCCCTGCATCCCAGCCAATCCAGCAGTGGCTGAAAGGGGCGAATGTAGAGCTTGGGCCATGGCTTCAGAGGGTGCAAGCTTCAAGCCATGGCAACTTTTCTACATGGTGTTGAGCCTGTGAGTGCACAGAAGTCAAGAATTGAGGTTTGGGAACTTCTGCCTAAATTTCAGATGATGTATGGAAATGCCTGGATGCCCTGGCAGAAATTTGCTGCAGGGGTGGTGCCCTCATGGAGAACCTCTGCTAGGTCAGTGAAGAAGGGAAATGTGGGGTTGGAGCCCCCACACAGAATCACTACTGGGGCACTGCCTAGTGGGGCTGTGAGAAGAGGGCCACTGTCCTCCATACCCCAGAGTGGTAGATCCACTGTCAGCTTTCACCATGTGCCTGGAAAATCTGCAGATACTCAATGCCAGTCCATGAAAGCAGCCAGAAGGGAGGCTGTACCCTGCAAAGCCACAGGGGTGGAGCTGCCCAAGACCATGGGAACCCACCTTTTGCCTCAGTGTGACCTGAATGTGAGACATGGAGTCAAAGGAGATCATTTTGGAGCTTTAGGGTTTCACTGCCCCACTGGATTTTGGATTTGCATGGGTCCTTTAGCCCCTTTGTTTTGGCCAATTTGTCCCATTTGGAATGGCTGTATTTACCCAATGCCTGTCCCCCAATCGTACTTAGGAAGTAACTAACTTGCTTTTGATTTTACAGGTGCATAGGTGGAAGGGACTTGCCTTGTCTCAGATGAGACGTTGGACTGTGGACTTTTGAGTTAATGCTGAAATAAGTTAAGACTTTGGGGGACTCTTGGGAAGGCACGATTGATTTTGAAATGTGAGGACATGAGGTTTTGGAGGGGACAGGGGCAGAATGATATGGTTTGGCTGTGTTCCTACCCAGATCTCAACTTGAATTCCCACGTGTTGTGGGAGGTATCTGGTGGGAGGTACCTCCACCCCTGTGGCTTTGCAGGGTACAGACTCCCTTCTGGCTGCTTTCACAGACTGGCATTGAGTATCTGCATCTTTTCCAGGCACATGGTGCAAGCTGACAGTGGATCCACCATTCTGGGGTGGGTCATGAGGGGGGGGTCCTTCCCATAATGTTCTCATGATAGTGA
This sequence comes from Homo sapiens, assembly GCF_000001405.40. Taxonomy (NCBI): domain Eukaryota; kingdom Metazoa; phylum Chordata; class Mammalia; order Primates; family Hominidae; genus Homo; species Homo sapiens. Next base: position 96,861,186 of record NC_000006.12, read on the forward strand.
ATAAGTCTCATGAGATCTGATGATTTTAAAAATGGGAGGTTCCCTGCACAAGCCCTCTTCTCTTGTCTGCCACCATGTGAGATGTGCCTTTCACCTTCTGCCATGATTGTGAGGCCTCCCAGCCACATGGAACTGTGAGTGCATTAAACTTCCTTCTTTTGTAAATGGCCCAGTCTTGGTTATGTCTCTATCAGCAGTGTGAAAACAGACTAATTCAGCAGTCATTCAAAGTATTTGTGAAAAACTTTTAAAGACATGGCTAATGATCCACTCTTGAGTGAATAAAGCAGAATATAAAGCAGTATCTACAGTATATTCCAGTATATATCTGGATATATATTTACATGTATGTGTGTGTATGCATATGTGCATACAAAAAGACTTGTAGAAATGCACCAAAATGTTTATAATAGTTTTTTCTGGATGGAACTATTGTTAATTTTTTTCTTTATGTTTCATTTTTTATTTCTTCAGTTGATCATGTACTACTTTTATCATTAGGAAAAAATAAGCCTTCAAACAAATTTGGTAACTTCTGTCCTTCCTCCATCCATATCTAAGTCAACAAATGTTAGGAACAAAACTGCATATCTGCAACAGTGCTGGGCTCCACCCTGGAATCTGCTCTTCCTTTGGAAAGCTTTTAGCACTCTGTGGCACTTGCCCAGATCAAATTCATATCTGCTCTCTGCTGCTTCTTATTTGATAGACATTTCTCTCAAGGCAAGACCCCTGAATTATCACAGATTTAAGACTTTACTCCTCCACATTGTGAGCCTTTTATCTGAGCATTAACACAAAGAAGAGAAAAATCAGGCTTTGACATTACTTAATAACCAGGAAGTACCTCAGCCGAAACCTTTTTCCTTTAAATTCCAGGCTTCTGTTTATGTAAAACAAATCCATTCCTTGTATAAATCTGAGTTCCATATATCCAGGCTACTTAGAAGGAGAGAGATCTAAAATTTGTGAGCAAATGCACTGAAGTCTGACCCTATCAAATAAATTCATCATATATATCAACACCTAACACTTTTGAACCAGAATTAAAGAAATGATAGGGGTACTTCCATCTCTTTGGGGAAACATGGTATCTTGCAAATCAAGGCTAATTTTTTTCACTCTCAGTACAGCTGCTTGATTCCATAAAGGGGAAAAAAAAGCAGATGTTGAATTACAAAGAGAAGAAAACACACTTCCTGCAGAAGGGTGTACCTAAATTATATTACCTTCACAGAAAACAAGAGCAGATGCATTATTAGTATTTGGACAGAGGCCAATATTGGGTAAAACTATGTAGCTGGTAAGAAAGTCAGTATACAACCTGAAGCATAGAAGAGAAATCACTTAATTTACATTATTTCAACTAAGTTCTGCCTTATTTTCTATCCCACTGGAATTAAATTCTATGTGGGTCATTATTAGGCTCTTAATCCCATCCCAGAAACCAGAAGGCATCCGTGGTGGCTGAAGAAAGAGAAATATCTCTTATATCTCTTTTGTCATGAGTGCAGAAGGCATTTTCACTAATTAAGCCTGACATGGTCTGTTAAACTCTCTGCTTGCATGCCTTGAGTAGGACATGGGGATCTCCCAGGAGGCTGGCAACTCTGGTATCTAGGATCTCACCTCTCTAGGTTCATTTTCATGTCAGGCTAGGGAGGTCCCTCCTTGTCTCAACTTCTCTGTGCCATTCTGCTTCTTTTCACAAACCTTATACTCCCTTTCATTCTTTCACAATGAGCTGTGAAGGACCATTACATACAGAGCTGAAATCTTAAAACTAGGCTTCCCTTTCCTTGAGGTCAGGAAGGGTTGACTCTTCAAAGTCTCCTGGATGGTAAGAAAATTATTTCAATTTCCATTTCTGTGACAGCAAGTAGAAGATAAAACAAAGCATGAGGTGTCTAAATTAACAAGTCAGATCATTCATATTCTGTCCTATCCACTTTACTTTCTTTAATCTTATATTCTTATGTGCTTCACAAGCACACTAGTTCCATGTTATCTGTATCCACACATTCGTTTTCCTTCCTTAAACCATTTGCAGGTGCCGAAGTATACATACCTTCATGCTCCTTCTTTGCTTAACAGTTGAAGCAACTTCAAAAAGAGATATTATTTTATATTATATCTATATAAATTTTACATTATTTTTGTTATTCCAAAATCTTGATTTCTCACTCCTTCCATTCTCTACTTTCTCTTTTCTTTTTCTAAAAATCATATATATTTATGGTGTACAACATGATGTTTGGATTATATGCATTAATTAATTCTGGCTTCTTTTGAGCATCTTATGGAAGTAGGAAGTGCTGTCAGGATAAGAGATCTGGTAGGCAGATGTCTCCCTGCCAGTATTTGTGTCCCAGGATCTTTCCAAAATGCCCCAGAATTCTTCTGTTTTACTAATGGGATCAACTCCCTCAATCCAAGGTAGCAATCAATGGGCCAACAGAGGTATGTGCCTTCTCTTACCCTGACAGTACTGTGCCTTCCTGTAGTAACCCACTGACCTCTCCCTACTCTTAAAATATTCTCCTTCCCTCCTGGGTATAAAGGCCTGGCCTGAAAATGCTATAGCTGAGTATTAGCTCCCATCCCACAAAGCAATTCTCTGCTCAGCCTCAAAAGGTAAACAAATCTCAGCGCTTCAGTGTTTCCAGTACACTACTGTCTGCAAAAAGCATGCCATAAATTACATGTTTAAGACTTTGTTGTTTTTCATATTATTTATAACACTAGTTAAGACTACTTTAGCTGCAAGTAACAGAAACTAACTCAAGGCCAGGTATAGTGGCTCACAGCTATAATCCCAGCATTTTGGAAGGCCCAGGAAGGAGGATTGCTTGAGGCCAGGAGTTTGAGACCAACCTGAGCAACATAGTGAAATATCACCTCTACAAAAAATTCTTTCAGAAAAATTAGCCAAGCATGGTGGTGTGTGCCTGCAATCCTAGCTACTTGGGAGGCTGAGGCAGGAGGATCACTTGAGGTCAGGAAGTTGAGGCTGCAGGGAACATAATCACATTACTGCCCTCCAGACTGGGTGACAGAATGAGAACCTGTATCAAAAAAAAAAAAAATAGTGTGGGGACAGGTGAGGACAGAAGCCAAGAATCAGCAAACACCCATGAATCTCTTTCATCCCTTTTTCAGCTTTGTCAGTGTATCTGCTGACTTCTTGTGTCTTGGCACAGCTTGTTTTTCGCTTTTTCACTCACAGAAGCTCTTGTTTACAGGAGTTGTGTTTTTTTTTTTCTGTTTTTGGCTGTTGTTTGTATTAACAGAATCTAAATAGTTATTTTTAAAGATTCTTGCTTAAATACCACATTATTCAGAAGCATTTGATTTATTGAATCAAGAAGAGTCCAAATTTGGAATCTTAAATAATTTGTTCCATTTTTCACCAAAACTTTTAAAAATAAAAACTGAAAAAACAAACAAATCCTCAAATGCAGCAGCAATAGGCTTGGATTTGTTTCTTCCACCCATACTGAATTCTGAACAAAGAACATGCGATTACACAGGCCAACTCCACAGTGCTTTCATAGATGACCGATTTCACCATTATTAAATGGCATAAAGAAGTGAAATGAGCTAACTAAACAGGGGAAACATAACTTTGATTGGCACCTCTCATTAGTTCAAGAAATCCAAACAGTGGAATCAGAGGGAAGCCAACTCTCCATTAAAAGCAAGTCTCAAAAGCAAGTCTCCTCCCTCCCAGCTGTTGCCAAGAGAAGAGGAAGATGCCCAGAGCAGGAGGGAGCAGCCTGTTGAGTACTGGAAAAAATATTTGGGAGGATTATTTTTCTTCCTCACATTCAATTACTGTATTCCCAGGCCTCTTTTTGTTTCTTTACACAACCATCTCAGAAAGTGAAATTTGCTTAGGGGTCTGGAATTTACCCCTAAATATCCCAATAAGCTCTTCTTGGGCTGAGCTCTGGAGAGCCTGCTGCAGCACAGGGCTTGATGCATAATGAGGATGCATCTCATGAACATTAATTGGAGGAAAGCACAAAGTAAGATGATTTATGTGAACAGAGAAGACAAGGGGAGAGAATCTACACTGTGCTATTGTGTGAAGAGACCGAGGGCATGATTTAGAAACCAAGGTTGAAATGCAGCCTGAAAGGGCTTTCACCCAAACTCCTGAAGGCAGCTTTAAGGCCACATCATTCATCGCCTTCCACTTAAGTGTCGCATCCAAGCAGTTTCTTTCCATCCTGTGCAATGTTATGAAATAGAAAAGGCTATATTTCCCAAATTTAAAATTCAAATACCTTTTGAAACATTCTACACTAATACATATTAGATGTTTCTATCAACTCCCATTTTCTATTCATACACTTGAGGTTTCCATGACAAGTACTTACAGACTTCTCAACATACAAGCTGTTCTCTCTGAGCCACGTTGCAGGTGGGAGGCTGCTTAGCCGGTGGTTAGGTCTGTAAGCTCCGGAACAGGACTGCCTGATTCACCCTCCCAGATCCTTCATTTAACCTAGGTAAGATATCTGAACTTTCTGTGCGATAGTCATGTCATCTTAAAAGTGGGAACAATAATAGTACCAAATTCACAGGAGGATCAAATGAATTAAACAATAATTCCTTAGACAAGTACCTAGCATACTAAAAGCTTGTGATGATCTTGGATAGTGCTATTATAATAGTTATAAGATCAATGTGAGTTTGACACCTATGAGGAAAATTTAAAGCCTAGATAGTGCAGAAAAAAAAACTGGATCTTGATTTTTGAAGCTAAAGATGGCCTTTCACAAGTTACTATGCAGTACAAACCTGGTCAGATTAATATTTGAACTACATTCAGGGCCACCTTAAAGAAAGCAGGAACTCTTGTCCTGCTTTCAAGGTCACTGTATTTTAGCAAAACAAACATCTTGGCTTTCTGCTTTTCCATGACCACAACTTCTTGTAGCCTTGAAGGACAGGATGAAGCATGCCCTTCACCAAGTCATCTTGGATCTCTTGCCTCAATAACCCAGTTCTGCAGCTGGACACAAGCCTACTATTTTTTCCTCACTTTCTTAGCAAAGATAGATCTGCTGTGCTGATAGCCTATAAAATTTCAATTTCCTCCAGTATTCAAATACTTTAGGCTTGCAAGAGTATAAATGACATGTTTTTAAAAACAGAAATTCAGAAAGCATCAAGTTACTGATACAGAAAGAAGGAGCTCCAAACACCCTTAGTTGTCCAAAAAGCCAACAGATTCTAGATTTGAAAGCTCTCTTGCCTTTTACTGCATGGAATCAATGAAGGAGTATTTTCATGAGTTATGAAGCCATGTGACATGTAAATTCAGTAAGAGTAAGCACCAGAAAAGGAGTTTGGAGTAAATCCATGAAATCTCCCTATGAAAAACATGTAACCTTAAGAGAAAATGGTATTTATTAAGATTTGCATCTTGGTCATGAAATATGAAATTTAATTTCTAACAATAAAATAAACTATTTTTTATATTACACTACAATTTTTTTAAATTTCAGTTATGCACAGGCAAGAACTTAAAGAGAACAGATAAAAATGAAAACATTAATATTTTAGAGGGAAAGATTGTCAGAGGACAGTTTTCTGCTTTTGGTTAGATTTTGTCAGATTTGGACAATAAATTTTAAAAACAAAACTATAGGAAAATATTATTTTCTTCTTATTAAGTTAAATGTTGCTTAAGGCATTCCATTATAAAGAATTGAATTTACATTTAACTATAAACATTTTAATGATGATCATTAAAGCCATTCTAATTGAAAACAGAATTAAAAACTTGTAATAGTACGGAAGAGTTCAAAAAGTACCCTCATAAGAGTTAAATTTAGCTCATGATTTTAGTGGGGTTTTTTTTAGGCTGCAAGTACCTCCAGGACCCTAGTCATTCAAGAAAAAAAGTGACCTGTCAAAAGTAGAAGTGCATCTTAATTGCTTCAGGACTAGAAATAACTTATAAAATAAACATTTTTGGTTTCCAGCTATTAACATGGAAACCATTTTAAATTTTAAATGCTCTAAATTGCCATGTCATTGGTCAGAGCTGTTATTGTCAGTAAATAAACATCGAGAATAAATACAATACATTAAGACTTCAGAAATATTAATCCACTCAAAAGCATGGGAAACAGCCAAGAGATAAATCATACATCAGTAGAGAAAAGTGATTTTTCTCTCTATCTCTTAAATTGAAATGAACCTTCAGCCCTGGACTTCTTTCTCAACCACATAGTAATGTCTTATGTCAGAGTCTTCAAACCTGCCAGGATGAATGGGAAGATTAGTGAAAATGTATGATTACTAAATAAATTAGAATGAGTGCTACCCATTGAATATTACCAGCATGTTATTGCCATAACTGCAATTGTCACTGTTGCACTGCAAAGACAGTACCAGCTCTATCTGGGGACTCAGGTAGACTTTACGGCTGAGTTGGAAAATGGGTTTCCTCCCATATACCAGTACCCCAGATGATGGCTGCTGGAGGACTCTGCTGAGAGGAATTGTGAGGTCACCTCCATAATTAATTGGTGATGCTTGCCATGAGCATGAGGTGCTGTGAATATGTAGTGGAGGGAGGTGTAATTATGGCTTAAGGGCACATAAAGAGAAGGCGACATCCTCAAGCAATGCCTAACTACAGTTCCCCCAATGTACCCTGTTCTTTCTTTGTGCCTTCGCTTGTGCTATTTCCTTTGCCTGATACATCCTCCTGGGTCTGGCTTCATTGCTGAGTAGCTCTATGAGTTCCAGGTAAAAATGGAAATGTGAGTAGAGACACACAATTCTCCCCTTTCTGATCCAGTTCAAAACAATTAAGAAAATGAAAAAACAGGGGTGAAGCATACATCAGTACTGGAAATGAGACTTTGAATGACCAGGAATTTCATCTGGTATATATCTGTCGGATACAAAAGTAGGATGGGTCCAGATTGAAGGACAGCACAGAGTCTGAATATGCAACTCATCACACTAAGTAGTGTGATCTTTCAGAAAATTAGGTGGAAAAAAGTCTTACATATCACTCCTTGGTTGGAAAGGCAAAAGCAGGCTATGTAAGAGATGAGAGAGGTTGGAGAGACATTTCAGTGTGTCTTGTTTATAGTGTTGGATGAGAGGGTGGTTGCAGGGCGGAGGAGGTAACCTAGGCTAAGGGCAGCTTTACTGAGCAAAGAGCCAGCAGTGGAAAGGGTTGCACAAAGCAACTAAAGCATAACTATTATTTGGGCCAAACTATGTTGAAGGGCTAGGAGCCAAGCAGACTGGATCTGTATCAAACTGTGACACTTATTTTTCCCCACAGAAAACTTCTGTTTTAAAAATAAAAATAATGTTAAAGTTAAGGAAAAGCAGAAGTGCATAAAATAGAAAGCCCCTCCAACTCCTTGCTTAGCATACTCATGTACCCACCCAATAAATTTTCCAAAGATCATTTTTTCATGGTCTTATATTACTCCAGATATGTTTGGTAAATATGCAAATCTATACTCACATATTTATTTTTCCTTCATGTGGTGTAATATATTCACATATTTAATAGATGGGTTCATACTATTATGGAATCTGATGTTTTTACTCAAAATACACTTTGGAGAGCTTCCCTTGACAGCACATTTGGATCCTTTTCATGGCTGTAGAGTATTTCATTGCATGAATGTGCCATGATATAACTAATTTCTTTTTTTTTGTTTTTTGTTTGTTTGTTTGTTTGAGACAGGGTCTCACTCTATTGCCTGGGCTGGAGTGCAGTGGTGCAATCTCAGCTCACCACCACCTTGACCTTTGTGCTCAGATGATCCTCCCACCTCAGCCTCCCAAGCAGCTGGGACTACAGGCACAAGCCACCATCCCCAGCTAATTTTTTTGTATTTTTTTTGTAGAGACAGGCTTTCGCCATGTTGCCCAGGATGGTCTCAAACTCCCTGGCTCAAGCAATCTGACCACCTTGACCTCCCAGATTATTGGAATTACAGGCATGAGCCACTATGCCTGGTCAATCTAAATAATTTCTAGTTTTTGTATGTTTAAGCTGTTCCCAATGTTTCCTCAAATATCAACAATGCTGCTATTGTATGTGTGTGATTATTTCTAATTCATGTTTTCCTAAAAGTAGAGTTGTTTGCTCAAAGAGCATGCACATTTAAAATTGTAATTGATATTGTCAAATTTGTATCCCCATTCGTAATACACACAATATAGGAGAGACCTTTTCCCACACCATTGGCAATACAGGAATAACATCAACCTAAATGTTTAATAGCAGAATACTGCTTAAGGTAACTGTCATATCTATATGAGGAAATACATGCAGCTATTTAAAATTATGATGTAAAGAATACTAATACAAGAATACACTAATGATATATTAAGGAAAATAGAAAGATGCAAACAATAATATGTGGTATAATACTATTATTATAAAACCTTTCTGAGCTTTTGTTTCTTCATTAATAAAATTAGGATAATAATGCCCATCCTAATTTGTTAAGAACAAAATAAGATCGGCCGGGCACGGTGGCTCATGACTGTAATCCCAGCACTTTAGGAGGCTGAGGCAGGCGGATCACGAGGTCAGGAGATGGAGACCATCCTAGCTAACACGGTGAAACCCTGTCTCTACTGAAAATACAAAAAATTAGCCGGGCCTAGTGGTGGGCGCCTGTAGTCCAAGCTACTCGGGAGGCTGAGGCAGGAGAATGGCGTGAACCTGGGAGGCAGAGCTTGCAGTGCGCCGAGATAGCGCCACTGCACTCCAGCCTGGGCGACAGAGCAAGACTCCATCTCAAGAACAAAATAAGATCATTTTCATGAAAATAGGTAAACTATAAAATCTCTGACAAGTATAGAACTCCCTAATTGAAACTAATGCTGTCATTTTCCCAAAAGCTCTATGTCAATGGCATAGAACAAATCAAACCCACTGGGCTTTGAACATATAAGACCACCCAGAGGCTCAGTTAATGGAACAGTTTTCACTCTGTGCATAGGCTGCCTGACAATACTGGCAAATGTGGGGACCCTGAGCACTTCCAGACACCATATGGAACAACCTGCACAGATTTGCATAGGGTGTGAATTTTTTTCCCAAGAGCTCTCAAAGCCTTCTTCTCACAATTTCAACCTACCACTGCTACCTGCTCACCTTTTCCATAGAACTTACCCCTGACAATCCAAATCTGGAATTGTTTTCTCTTTTCTAACATTCGTCTATACACCTGAACTCTCAATCACCCAATGCTTTGCACAATTATGTTAACGCATGATGCAAATATGTCAGCTTTGAGTCAGACAGATTCAGTCAAAATCTCTGTCCTTCCTGGGTCCCATTTAACCTACATAATCTTAGGCTATTTAACCTCTCTGGGTCTTGATCTCTTCATCTGAAAAATGGGGATAATTGAATTTATCTTAGAAGATAATGAATGTAAAGTACTTTACACTGACACAATATAAGACTGCAATGTGTTGATATTGTTATTATTATTTCTATTAGAATATATGCTTCTTATAAGCATTGACTAGATCTTATCTTCACAAGATTCAGTAGATAATATTTATTTCTAAATGAACTTATCTAGATTGATATATCTTTTAGAACTTGACCAAGTATTATTTTATTCAGACAGCAACTTTTTGTGTAGGTCCATAAACTCACAGTAATATAATAAAACATAAAAGATTAAAAATGAGAAGGCAAATATTTATTTGGGGCTACATGGTGGGAGGAGGAAAGTTGAAGTAGGAGGGAACATGTAAAAGAAAAAGAATACAAATGCTTCTCAAGAAAAACATGCCCAGACTTAAGACATCATTATCCAGGCCACAGAGTGTAAGACAGAGAAAAAAATAACATTTTTACAGCAGAACATAAAACATCAAGGGCTGATATATTTTACATATATCATAATCATAAATATATGTACATATTTAACTTCACAGGAAAAAAAAGCTCAAGTTGAACACTTTGGCATTTGTATCACATTATCAATATTTCCCAGATATTGTTCTTCCCTCTCAATCAACTGAGAAAGTGTCATTCAGAGTTTAGGTCTGAACAAAATGTCTGGACTAAAATTTGACTTAATGGTGTCCAAGAGTCTCAAAGCAGTTTGCACTGAGTGAAGCAAAACAACACCTCCGGTCTCCAGGGTTTTTATACTCACAGGAGAGGCACTGAAGCACATAGTAAAATTTGTGATGAAGGTTCTCAGTTTCCAATTAACCCCGAAGACATCCCTTGTTTCATATAGCTCTACTTACATGTTTTTAGCCCAATCACAAAATAAACAATTTGCTTGTTATAAAACAACATTTCTCCTTTGTGGCTGGTAACAAGCTGCATCTGGGCAAGGCTGTTAATTGGCAATTTTAAAAACATGTGGGGCCAACAAGGTCTCCTAAGCAGTGATCAGCAGACATGATATATAATGGGAAAGGGAACATTGGGGATTAATAATAGAATGTGTCTATCTTATCATATTTTTAATGGGATGCATTTCAGAGAGTAAACAACATAAACATTCCATCTCCTTATTCACAAAAAGCACAAACTATGTTGTAATGCTCTGTACTTAATATGAAATAAGTTTTGGAATATATAGCATATGAAGTTATTTTAACCCCACTAAATACTTTGATATGAAACTACCCAAGGAACTTAAATTCATTAAGCTTATTGAATTTTTGAGTTTTCTTAGTTAAATGATATTTCAGATGCAGGGAAAACTAAATTTACAAGTGACTTCTTTTATTACAGAATTTCGACACCACGTTGGGTAGGGGCTCAATATTTGAGTTCCTAGTTACTAGCCAATAATCAACTGTAAAGAATACAGCTGATGCACTCTGGTTACACTCAAAAGCTTCATTCTTCCTAGTAAGGACTGATAACATTATGGGGAAGGAGCAGCAGAAAAAAGGAAAGCAGAACCCTTCCACCTCGTAAGGAGTCAGTGGTGACACGCAGGCTTAGCATTCCTCACACCAGAGTATGCCTGGGTTCAGCTGCTTGGTAGCACTGCTGCCAAAAATTTCACAGCCTGAACATGATAATGCCTAGAAAAGTCACAGGATAGGAAAGGTTATACGCCCATCTTTCAGAGCCATCCTGGCCTACCCAAGGTGTTTGAGTAGATTCTCCTTTCATAGAAAAATCTTGGGAGACAATTATAAAGGAGGAGCCATCTTCCCAACACCTGGCACTAGCCATTGCCTGAGGGGAAAATTTGGGATAAGGATGCATTTTTATTTACATTAAACATTTTGAAATTTAAAAAATTCATTTCAAATATGTGTAAGATTTTCACAATTGAGCCACATAAACTTCATTTTGTTCTAAAAATTTTTAATGGTAATTTCGAAGGTACATTATACACAAAGCATTTATTCATGCTAAAATATCTAAAGGAAAATAGATTCAAATCAGAGATCACTATTTTTACACTTATCTATTTCCTGTAGGTTTGTTGCTCTACAAGTGAAATTTTATGAAATCACATTTAATTTTCATATTTTAAAACTATGCATCACATTAACTTGCAGGACTACAATTTTGTATATTCAAGATTTAGAGAATAAACATCTTTACTGTATAAATTCAGCATACTGCTTTCTGCTGTCATTTTCTTCTTATCACCTAAATATTGAATATAATTATGTTTTAAGGTTAACAAAGTTGAAGTTGAAATTGAGCTATTTCAAACATAACTAAATTACTAATTAAGTCTACCCATGAAGTAACATTTGGCAGAGACTGTACTTGATAAAATATTCCAATAGTCTGCACTTTAGAAAATTACAAGAGAATTCATGGCTACCCTAGAGAATTCAACAATTTGTCTGCCTGTATGCATAGAATTCTATGGGAAGATCTTTAAGGATCCTTTTGAGCATCTGAATCTATAAAACCTCAGGAGTGGAAGCAAACCATGAATTTCTCACATCCATTGGGATCACATAGCACAGCCCATGTGTTAATTAATACATGCAATCTGGCCTTCTCATCACAATGAGGAAGTCTCTGAAAGAGCCAGCAGCTTTCAAAGCCTATTAATAAATTAACATTTGATGAGTTATATGAAGATGGTATGACGCTATATACACAAGGTATGATGTTAGGTGCCAGAGCACAGGAAAGATGGATACAGTTGTCATCCTGAAAAAGCACAGATAGTGGAAAAAGATTAATAAGTACCCCTTTCAGATTTGCTACAAGAAGCAAAGAGCTACACAAAAGATATCACATATATAAAACAAGCAAATTTTCTCTTTATACACATATGCATACAATATATGTGTATGATAGATCTCCAATCTATCGTAGGAGAAAATTGAAACTACAAAAATAAACAGCTACATGGATCACACACACATATATTTACATGTGCACAAACACACACGTGTGCAAAACACAACAAGAAGGCCATATGTTCCCAGTAGAAATATAAAGTTGCTTTTTCTTTATATTGCCATACTTTATAAATATTCAAAATTGGCTATTAGTCTATAATTGGAAAAATCATTATTAAAATATAAAATAATCTTAAATCTGGACTTTGAATTTTTTTCATATTTTTAAAAGTTCATCTGTCATTAAGGGATTAGAAAGCACATTTCTAGTCTAGCAATCAAATAAAAATGTGTAGCTAGTAGAATAGATCCTGCATTTTAGACATCATATTTAATCTATCATATTAACATGATAAAAGGAAAACAGAAGATAATGTTACAATTTGTATTCTGGTCTAAAGGCTTTCTGGGCTTCCAGACACTATGATAACGAATACTTTAAATGCATGAATGAACCAAAATTTAATGTAAAATCACAAGTGCTTCTATCACAAATACGACCAGCTGTGTTTAGAATTTATGTCTTGATATTTTCAAAAACCAACAAATTTAAATGGACTATAGGAACTAATCACTTCCACAACCCATTTCCTGTGGCCAGTGACAAAGAAACATTCGCAAATAAAGCCAGTTTTATTTACTCTTATTGTCTTATTCAACAAACCTTTAAAAATATTTGTTAATTGCCAGTCACTATGTTGAACATTGGGTATTCAAAAAGTAACACTTCAAGAGACACTTTGCATAAGTTATCCAAATGGCCAACGAGCAAATGAATAGGTGTTCGGCATCATTCCTCATCAGATAAATACAAATTAAAACCACAGTCCATATCTATCCAAATGGCTAAAATAAGATTGGCCATACCAAGAACTGGTGCAGCTGTGGAGCAACTGCAACACTCATTAATGGTGAGAGGGAGAGTAGAATGCAACAACCTTGGAAAACTATTAAACTTTTTTTCTTTTCTTTTCTTTTTTTAATTGAGACAGGGTCTTGCTATGTTGACTAGTATGGTCTTGAACTTCTGGCCTCAAGCAATCCTCCTGCCTCGGCCTCCCAAAGTATTGTGATTACAGGTGTGAACCACCATGCCCAGCCAGCAGTTTATAATAACATAAAAACTGTGCACACTTATGACCCAGCAACTTCACTTCTAGGTATATACCCAAGAGAAATGAATGTATGTGTCCACAGAAAGACACATATAAGACTGTTCCATTTACATGAAGTTCACAGGCAAAATTAATCTACACAATAGAAGTTAGAACAGTGGTTACCTGGGGCGAGGCTGAGGCATTACTGACTGCGAATAAGCAGGAGGGAATGTTCTGAGATGACTGAAATGTTCAATATCTTCCTTTAGGTAGTGGTTACAATGGGTATATACATAAGTAGGAAGTAACTGAGCTGTACACTTATAGTTTATGTATTTTTCTGAGTGATAATTATACCTCAATTTTTTAAAAATAACATGGTTAGGTCCCTACCTTCAAGAAGTTATAATACGAGTGAATTAACAGCCATACAATGTGATATGCACAATGATATGCTTAGTGAACAGTGTCCATGAAGCTCAGAGGAGGAAACAATTCCGTCTGGAGAAGGCTCAAAGGTACCGCAAGCAAATGTGGAATTGGTGTTTAATTATGACCTTTATGCCAGGAAAGTATCTCAAGAATATCACCATTTTCCTATTCCCTGGTATATTGGAATCATTTTTAAAAATCTAACTGAATATTAATTCTAAGCAGCCCACCATTGGCATTGTAGGCATTATTGCTATATATTTAATCTTCACTCACTATGTCCTGTCACACAGTCCAATTTACTCCAACATATGCCTATCAGGTTCTTAGCACCCCTGATGTTGGGGTGATGGGACAGGCACAGACAGAAGTAAAACAAAATTCTGGCCTGCAAGGAATTTGTAATTTTTCAAAATACCTCTAATATCCATCTTTTCTCCATTTCTACTGACACCATCTAAGACCAGTTCTTGTTCCTGCAACAACTGAACGAGTCGAAATAAATTACTACCCCATCTTCCTGCTTTCCAGCACTTTCACAGCCCCAATTATCCCATGCATACTATTCTCATCAATTATTTTTGATGTTCAGAATGGCTCGGGAGCTTCCTGGGGCCTAATGCATCAATTGTAAACTCTTCAGCATGGCTTATCAAGTCTTGCACAATTTGGTTCCCCCAGTACTGCTCCAGAAAGAGTAACGTCTACTAAGTGGCAGTGACACTGTAAAGACACATGAGAGAAAAACAATTCTTAGCTTACATGTGCTTTGAACTTTTTCATTTTTAATGGAACACCTTCAATTTATTATTTAAAATGTGTTATATTAATTGTAGTATGATACAGGCTGGATTCTGTCTATGTGGATCTGTTATGGTCTGAAGTGTTCATTTATTCATTCAAAAATCATTTACTGAGCCGGGCGCCGTGGCTCACGCCTGTAATCCCAGCACTTTGGGAGGTCAAGGCAGGCAGATCACAAGGTCAGGGGTTCGAGACCAACCTGGCCAATATGGTGAAACCCCATCTCTACTAAAAAGTACAAAAATTAGCTGGGTGTGGTGGCGGGCTCCTGTAATCCCAGCTACTCAGGAGGATGAGGCAGGAGAATCGCTTGAATCCAGGAGGCGGAGGTTGCAGTGAGTTGAGATGGCACCACTGCACTCCAGCCTGGGTGACACAGCAAGACTCCAACTCAAATAAATAAATAAATATCATTTACTGATCAATTTCTCTGTGTTCTATATTAATGAAATACAGAAATATAAAAGACCAATCTACTGTCAAAGAGGGAAACACCAAGATCAAAAACATATACATAGAGTTTTTCCTTTTTTTACGCTGCATAAAATCCTTCTTCCCTCCAGGGGTACCCACAATAGCACTCCCTGGGGCAGCTGTAATTTCCAAAAAGAGATACATGGAGTGGGATGCTGAAAAGTGTCCTGAAACACATGCCCTTGCATTATAAAATGTTAAGAGAAAAAATAAGGCAAAAACTTGAGTCAGTCTGGTGCTTTCCTCTGTAGGGCCTATGAGGATACATGTTTCTTCCCTCATTGAGTCAGATTTTATGATCATAGTGTCCTCAGATACAAGATTCAAATCATTTTCAAGAGCCTAACATCATTATTTTAAAACAAGGCACTGCCATTTTAAGCAAAACAGATTATGTAAATGTCAGTATATTTTAAAACAATCGAATTTCTCTTTAGCTAGGAACCATTCATTCTGTAAGAGTCTTTTTTCAGCATCTAAGGTTGGTATTGTTGTATACTAGAGAAGCCAAAATTCAGTGACCAGTTTTACTTTTCTGCCAAAAAGCCTGATTATTTTTAAACATTCCTGATAGACATTTTGCATCTCTTTTTCTACTCTGAATTTGAGTCGCAGCCTTCTGGCAATATGATGTTTTCAAGCACAGATTCGATATGTATAAGCCATCCGTTTTTCTGAAGATTTATAATCGGTAATTTTAGAAGGATTCCGGCCTTTATCACATCTTAGTTTAATGAAACATCTATGCTAGTATTTTCTAAAGTTCTTTTGGAAACAAAATCTCCTGAAAGAGTTCCAGCCTGTGAAAGTGAAAAACTCATTTAAATAATCAGTTCCGAACAACATTTCTGTTTATGTTAAGAATGCTGCTCTGATATTTAAAGTGGTTTAAGAAATCCAACCAGTGAATATAAAATTAAGCATAATTTTCTCTCCTCTAAGAGAGCACGGAAGCTCCAGAGAAACTGGCAACTCAGAAGATGTGTGGCACCGTGCCCGCTCCAAGGAGTAATGCTGAATGCTTTTGCATTCAGGTTTTGCAAAAACTTCATGCACTTCAGAACCCATGCTTACTAACTGAATTTTCAAGCTTCTCTTTTCCCCTTTCTTGTGGAAGCCCAACTTCCTGTGCCATCATTGAGCATACTGAGGCTCCCTGATCTTTCTCAAAATTCTACTAATAAGCCAAATGTACAATTTCAAACAAAGAAAGCCATTTTCTGGTCCCAAGGCTAGAGCTTTGAAAGTGTGGAAAGTTCAAAAGCTTAAGTTTTTTATTTGACTCCTTTTGGCTCAAATGTTGAATGGTCATTTAATTATTTTTTAAAAATGTATCCTGTTATTTCACGGGGTAAAAAGGGAACTTCATGAGACTCAGGAAGACAATACCCAAGCAAATGCCTGGGCATTAAAGATTGGATACAGAGAAGGATCTTTCAAAACACCTAGGAGAGCTCTTAATTTACTGATGCTCTGGTTTCACTCACCAAGGTACCATTATCTGTGTCTCAAAGGAAGTGCAGGTTAGAGAGCATGTGGGCCCAGGCCTCTTTGATACAGGGATCACCTTCTGTGGGTTGCTCTCCTTCCAGGCTAAAACCCATCATCTTCGAGGGTTGGAGGGTGTGGGCCGTGGTGGATCCTGCGGGGTCAGCTCCTAGGTTAAAATGTAGGCCCACTTTGGGGGATCCAACCTCATCTTTATGGCAGGTTTTCTTACCGTGGAGTAGGAGGTCTCATACCAGCAAGGACAGAAGTTTTGCCTGTTTCTTTCACAGAGGAGTCTAGTAGGGTAACATCAATCTTTTTCAGCTGTTATTCCACATTTTTTAAAACCACAGTCATCTTTTTGCCTTACATCTTTTTGCTTCACCCACATTTGTTGAAAAACTTTAATGGGTGGCCAGTACAGCTATAAATTACTCTGACTCTTAATTCCATTTTCTTCATAAAATTCAACACTGACTCATTATGGTTTGAAATGTTTATTCAGGATTAGTGAGAAATTACAGCTGGTTAGACAGCCAGAGGGCCTTTTTCATTACAATGAGAAATAAACATTGAATTCTGAGAGTAACAAGCCATGTACTGCCTTGAAACAAGCATGGCATGAATCTGATTTCAGCAAACTCTGAAGCCCTTATTCAGGTTAAAGTGAACCAAAAATGTAGCAGCTCAGGGCTGTGTGCAATTTTAGATTGAGTGTCCTCATTATAGGGTAAAAATAGAAATATCTAGGTAATATTACTGTGTTGTTCTGAGGTAAAGCAAGGAAATGAGCCTCTGTGACTTCAGTTTCTTCTGGAATCCTTCTGAGAATAAGATGTTTATTAAGCTAAGTATACAACATGATGAATGAGGAAGGATAAATGATCGGCTAAATTGTATACTACATTGAAAAAAATAAACACGAAGTTGGAATTTTGAAAAAGGAAAATTAGATTGCTGGGAAAGAGAGGAGTTTGAGTCCTGGAGGAGGAAAATAGCTTAATCTCCTTTCTCCATCCTCTCTGACATATCAGTGAAAGTAAATCAAGACTGCTGCAGATATGTGCATTACTTTAAAACCTTTTTAGCTGTATCTTCATCCCTGGCTTACCCAGCCTCAAAACTATCATTTTCCTCTTTTATTTTTAGAATAAGTAAAAGTATTAATATATGCAAATAGGATTCTTGAAAATCCAAGGAAAAATTCAAACTGCCTTCCTCAAATTCTTGACAACGTTTTATGTCTTCCTTTTCAAAAAGAAACCTACCTTCCTTCTCTCTCTGACAATGAGGAAGGACCATTGTCAGAAGATAAAGGATAAACTTTTGCTGCTCCACCTTCACCTTTTGACCAAAGATGTTTTTAATACTGTTGTGTCCAATTGCTTTGTCTCATTCTTTGATGTTTCAAGTAGGCCAGAACAAAATCTAGACCAGCCCCTCCCAGCTTCCTTCCAAATCCTAAATTAATATAGCAGGGAGTGTGGGGGAGGCTATTTTTCATTTTTCATACCCATAATTGTTTGAAGGGGCACTGTATGGCCTCCAAGTTCTGACTGATAGGGTGTCTGTTTAAAAAGACATTCTATCAGACTGGGTACAGTGGCTTACGCCTGTAATCTCAGCACTTTGGGAGGCCAAGGCAGGTGGATCACCTGAGGTCAGGAGTTCACGACCAGCCTGGCCAACATGGTAAAACCCTGTCTCTACTAAAAGTACAAAAATTATTCGGGTGTGGTGGCAGGAGCCTGTAATCCCAGCTACTCAGGAGGCAGAGCCAGGAGAATTGCTTGAACACGGGAGGCAGAGGTTGCAGTGACCTAAGACCCTACCATTGTACTCCAGCCTGGGCAACAACAGCAAAACACCATCTCAAAAAAAAAAAAAAAAAAAAAAGACATTCTATCACAATCAGCTGGGAAGGAGAGAGTTCAGGAAAGCCCCTATATGACGTCTGGCCACTCAAATCCCTCTCACTCAAAACTGTTAGGTATGGGGTTGGGGGTAACATGTACATTTTCTAGAATCTCAGGTCTCTCTATGAGACCAAACCAATAGGATTAGTTAATTCTGCTTGAAGTCAAAGTCAGTAGAAACAATATTTGAACTGACATAAAGAATAAGAAGGGTTAAATATGGTTAGATATTTACTCGTGTTTTAATTATTATTGTTAAAACCAGATGTGTAAGTGATAGAACTGGAGAAATAATTTTGAAAACTTTAAGTGCTGTTAACAAAGAGTAGAATAGAGGTAATGTACCAGTATTGCCTCTGGGATGGGACTATAGATGCAAGTCAGGAGGTTTAAGTGATGGCAGAGGCTAGTTAGATGGAAGAAAACAAGCACGGATGTCATATTCCTTTTCTTATGTTTTGAGGATTCTTGGGTGTATTTGCTGTGTATGGAACATATACCAGCATCATAGATACAGGTGACATGATAGCCAAGACCATTTAATGAGAGTGGACCTTCTAGAGCCTACTACTTCCCTCTCCTTAAAGCAAAACCTCCATTGAACCATACATGCTCAGCCTCCTCTCCTTTGCTATCACCATAACAACCAACATGCCATGAGAAATATAATAAGATGTTGTCCAGAGAAGCGAGGGCTTTCAGTGCCTGTCTTTAGGAGCCTCCTTTAGGGGCTGACCTTCTTTCTCTGAGCCAATGAAATGCCTAAATTATGAAGGTCTAATTAATCAGCATTTGAAAGCCTCCATCAGCATCCCATCACCCAGGATACCTCACAGAACCATGAGTGTGCACCTCAAGGGCTCACCAAAGATGAGGCAAATAGCAAGACTGCATAAGAGTCTGGAAATGGAAAGATACTCTCCAGCAGTACTAGATAGTCTAGGTGTTTGAAGCCTGTGAAAGTAATCAAATGCACAATCCTTTGTAGGGAGCAGAATTATGTGGGATGAAAGAATGCAAGGCACACCACTGACCCAGATTTGGGTAAAATAACTGGTCATTCCCACATTCTCTGTCTCATCTCTATGCATTGGCACATACGTCCCCTCTATACTAAAGTTTCCTCCACAGTGAATTCCTATTTCTCCTTTTATGCTATACCCAATGACCACTTCCCCTGTAAGAGTCACTGTGATATATCATATCCCTTTGAAATTTATGTCTCTGGGAATCTTTGCTGTATGCATTGGTTATATTCATTCCCGGTCTCGAAGTTAAAAAGAGTCTCCCTTGCTAGTGAGAATTACAAGTAGAATACAGGTGTAGTGATGGTGAGGCAGCCCCCACCTCCTACCGTGGTCAAGATGAGGACTTTGGAGAGGAATCACATCTGGGATAGCCCCTCCCCCACTGACTTCTAATACAGCCTGGGGTCAAGTAAGTACTCAGCACTCTAATATTGTTTCCTCATCTGTAAGGTGGAGATAATAGAAGAAACCACCATATAGAATAATTTTGAGGATAAAATGAAATAAGGAAAGGAAAGTACTTAGCATGATGTCAGGCAAATAACAAACACTGTAAATATGTACCATGGTAATATTATTATCATTATAAACACAATGGTTCATATATTGATACTATCCTACAAAGGAATAAAAGGTTTTGCTTCTGGGTTTCCTATAGATTATTAGTTTCGTTAAAAATTTGCCATCGCTGAAGTAAAATTTGTCATAATTGATTTGAAATCTCTCAAATCAAGCTAGCAAAAGGAAAAACTGTACGAATGACAAGTTTCTGAGCTATAGCATACTTTTAAAGGCATGCAGTTTTATCCATTGTAAATTCACAGGACAAACTAGGATATATAAACTGGACTTTCTAAATAGAAGTCCAGTTGAGGAAATAATACATAATCATGGCATTTGTAATTAGCATAATTTCCTCAAATACATTGCAATATACTAAATTCTTTAACTTGTTGTGGAGGATAAATTGCTCTTAAAAACTCAAAACAATTTGAGTTTTTAAACTCAAAATAACTGCTTTCTTTGAGATCACTTTTTAAAATGATCTGCTTCTGTCCAGTACAAGCAAAAAAAAATTCCAAGTGATGGAGTCTGACTATATTATACTATGTATCAAGCTAAATCATTATGAATTAATCTTCTCTCCAATGTCTTATATCTCATAGTATCTCTCATGATCTATTATCACAAGTCAAGTTTGACATTTCTTTTAAATTAAAATTTTATGTTACAGAATTCTGCTCTTTCTAATTAATTAAATTCTTACAAGGTAAAATCACTTTATTTTATACTAATAAAGCATACTATAGTTTCTGAAAAAAATTCAAAATTGTAATACAAGTTTACAAACTGGGGGGCATAAGAGAGGATTTAAGTTTACAAAGCCATGAAGACAATAATAGCTAGAGAAGATAATTCTAGAGATCCAGAAATCAATTCTTTATCATTATCACAATTACGGTAGGGCAATTTCATTGTTATTATAATGTGGGTTGTGTTTTATTCTGAAGACCATGAAGTTCATACACTTATTTCTGGTTAGTTTGACATATCGTCACGGCTATATAAATAGTGGGTGACCTTTGTTGGTGGGAGAATGAACTTGAGAATGTTTAAATAACTTTCCAGTAGTGGGGAAGCTGATAACTGAACACAGATGTGCCTTGCTAACATGCTCTAAAACTGCTAATTCACTTATGTAAAATTACTATAAATATTAAATATGAGTTGCAAATATATTCAAAGCACCAGAACACAATTAGAACTCTTAAACCAAAAACTATACCTACTATTGATTTTATTTCTGATGACAAGAAAGAAACTCTGAAGTCATCCAGCATCTCCAGATCATCTTCAGGAAATTAAGGTGTTATTACAGGGTAGGTGAAACACTGCATGGTGGATCAGGGAACAGGATGCTGCGTTCTAGACTCTGCTTTTAACTGTTTGAATTTAGACACCAGACCTGACCCTGCAAAATGAGGGAACTAGACTCAATTTTGATTAAGATATCATCCAGTGCTATACAATGCTTCAATGAGCAGATGTCCCAATTATCATTAACAGAAATATTCAGTCTCAATTGCAGCATAAACTAGCCTGAACTTTATGCTATGCAAAATGCACCAAGATCAACTTGTGCCCTTAAATAAACATATGCAGCTAAAATCTGACACAAGTTGGTGTTATGGGCTGAACTGTGTCCCCAACTCCTCA
This sequence comes from Homo sapiens, assembly GCF_000001405.40. Lineage (NCBI taxonomy): Eukaryota > Metazoa > Chordata > Mammalia > Primates > Hominidae > Homo > Homo sapiens. Next base: position 96,883,005 of record NC_000006.12, read on the forward strand.
AATTCATATGTTGAAATCTGAAACTCTAATTCCTCAGAATGTGCCTATATTTGGGGATAGGGCCTTTAAAGAGGTACTTAAGGTTAAGTGAGGTCGTTAGGGTGGGCTTTAATCCAATATGACTGGTGTTCTTATAAAAAGAGAAGATTAGCATATAAGCAGGTACAGAGGAAAGACCATGTAAGACACAGGGAGAAAAAAATGGTCATCTACAAACAAAGGAGAGAGGCCTCAGAAGAAACCAACCCTGCCAACTCCTTGATCTCAAACTTTCAGCCTCCAGAGCTGTGAGGAAATAAATTGCTGTTGTTTGTTTAATTTACCCAGTCTGTGATATTTTATTCTGCAGCCCGAGCAAGCTAATGCAGTTGGCTCTTCTATAGCAGCTATATAGCCAAAGGATTCCAATGCACATAAATATAAATAGTAGGTATAGAAAGAACATTAGGTGTCTAATAAAATGTGAAGCTCTGAGATTCTGCTAGAGGTCACACCTTCTCTGTAAACATTAAAGAGGGCTCTTTGAGGATAACAGACTCTGCACAAAAGCCCCACAGTGAGCATCAAGGTGGAGTGCCAGCCTCCACTGTACCAGCCACAGCAGTGCTCTGCAAAGAGAAAATCAAAATGCTAACAATATCTACCAGCATAGGAAAATCAAAACCACACAAAGGATGAATACTTAAATAGCCTCTCAAGAACTGGAGTGTATTCACAGGGAGTGGAAGACCTTCCACATGCATAGTCACCAAATACACCAGCCACACAAAGGGACTAGGATTGCTGGGAACCTGAATTCTTTGGTGAAGTAATTACTTTTGTATTCTTTTTCCCCTTAAATGGCAGCTGCAGCTCCATTCATTTTTCTTGGGACAGTACCATTAATTCAGGCAAATAAGTCATGCTCAACAGGGGTTTCATCTCTCACACCTTTGATTCCCCATTGCATTGTGTTTATACTTACAGCACTTACTAAATTTTGCCCTGTAATGGGGTAATCTGCACACTTCTCTTGTCCCAACTAGCAAGCGAGGGACTATTTTTATTCTTTATCATAACTCTTACATAGCTCAGAGCCTTGCACCAAATTAACACTCAGTAATATTCACTAGCTAGAATTGAACTAAACTGCCATTCAATAAATCTCTGAAGTATTATTCTGCATTTTAGGTCATAGGTAAATACATATCTCGGTAGGAAACTTAGGAAAGCTGGAGTTCACACTGAGAAAGTCGTGAGAGATGAGTTTGGAGAGATTAAGTAGGCACGGAGTTCCTTACAACTTAAGGAACTTGGATTTTATCCTAAGATGATAGAATGAATTTATCACAAAGGAGCAGCATTTTCATATTTGTGTTTTTGGAAAAATTAGCCTGAGTGCTAGTTGAAAACTGAATTATAGAGAGTCATTACTGAAGCAGGAAGCTGGTGGCAGGGGCGAATTACAGAACAGTCATTGTGTCTGAGTTTTGCAGTCTTTGTAATTGGGAGATTAGTGGGATCACTGTCCAAACAACCAAAGGATGCACAATAGGGCAAGATATGAAGGTAAAAATGGTGAATTTAATTTTTTAATTTTTTTCTTTTTTATTAAAGTATTAAACACAATATACTAATGTATGTAAAATGCTTTATTCTGAAATGTACAGCTTGATGTATTTGTACATTTGCATATACTAACGCAATGGCTACCAAGATCAAGATTGAGAACACTTCCAGAGCTTCTCATGCCCTTTCCTAAGCAATAACTTATTAACCACAAAAAATAGTAATTTTATAGTGAAAATCTGACAGATACCACCTTAGCCAAGCTATCAAAGTTAACATCATCAAAATGAGACAAATTGACATCATGTATTTCCTGATACGATGCACTGCAAAGGGCAAAGATGGCCACAAGTTCTTTGACACTTTTCCCATACTGCGGTTTATGTTCCCTACACTTGAATCAAGGCAGACTTTGTGACTACTCTGACAAATAGAATAAAGAAGTGATGCTTTGCCAGTGTCTAAGCCCAGGCCTAAAGAAGCTGACAGGCCAGGCACAGTGGCTCATGCCTATAATCCCAGCACTTTGGGAGGCCGAGGTAGGTGGATCACCTGAGGTCAGGAGTTTGAGACCAGCCTGGCCAACCTGGTGAAACCCTGTCTTTACTAAAAATATGAAAAATTAGCCAGGTGTGGTGGCCGGCACCTGTAATCCCAGCTACTTGGGAGGCTGAGACAGGAGAATCACTTGAACCTGGAAGGCAGAGGTTGCAGTGAGCCGAGATTGCATCATTGCACTCCAGCCTGGGCAACAAGAGCGAAACTCCATCTCAAAGGAAAAAAAAAAAAAAAAGCAGCAGCAGCAGCAGCTGACCTGACAGTTTCACTTTCTTTGTTCTGTAATGTTTGTTTTTGAACCCAGCCAATCACTATGCTATAAGAAGCCCATGCCACATGAACAGGCTGCCTATAGATGCTCCAGTCTATAGCCTTAGCTGAACTCTCAGCCAACAAACATTATCAAATGCTGCCATAAGAGTAGGCTATCTTGAATGTCCCGCCCAGGTGAGCCTTCAGACGACAACAGCCCCAGCTGCAACTACATGAGAGATCCCAAGGGAAAACCATCTAGCTGAGCTTCAATGGTTCTTCAATCTGCAGAATCATGAGAGATAATAATGAATTGTTTTAAGCTGCTAGGTTTTGAGATGGTTTGTTATGGAGAAATAGATAACTGAATAGCAGCTAACAGTATAAAACTTAAGCTCCATGAGACTTGGAACTTTGTTATCTTCCATGCAGTATCCCCAGCCTCTAGATAAGTGCCTGGCACATAATGGGCATATCAATAAATATTTGTGATGAATGAACAACTGGTAATATTATTGATTTGAGAAAAGAATTTGAAAAGCCACTTATCTTTTAAACAGCTATTAAGCAAAGTTGAAATGTTTGCCTTCTTTTTGCTTAATAACTTGTGCAAGCAGAGAAAGTTTTAAAAAATGCTATTAATCTTAAATCTATATTCAGAAGTAGATTGCACATTTGACCTACCTAGAAATGGGTCTCTGAAAAAAATAGAATGTGGTAACCTAAATATTTAAAGGCTTTATTAAGAATGTTGTTTCGAGGCTTTACAATCTCTTAAATTGGGTCTTTAAAAAATATTGTCTTACCTTTTATTATTCCTCCAGAAATATCAGGGTTGGTGATGAAAGAAAAAGATGCAACAAAAGAACAATTTAAGAAGAGACAAGGTACTCTTTTTCTTTGGTGGTGTTGCAGGATTTCTGAGATATTTGTAAAGCAAAATGTAATAAATCAATCTCTCTCTCTATCCCCCTTTCTTTCTACAAGACGCATTTTAAATGGCTTTTCCCCATTTCTATGCTCCTTATCTGAAGCCATAGCATCAGTTCTGAGCCAGCACCAGAAGAGGAAGGACTAATATAGAAATGATTGAATAATGAATGGATAATGGCCTAAGGAGCAATAAGCAAAGTCAATCAGAGTTGAATACTCTATGACTCTATGCAAGTATTTCCCTACACCTAAAAATAATGTGAATAATAAATAGGAGCTCATTTGTATTGTTTCTTACATGGGCAATTAAAAAACAGCATCTGTTTCTATACTTGCCAAACCATATAAAGACATGGCAAATCATAATGCCATATACTGAAAACAATTAAAAGTAAAAAAGTAAAATTTAAATATTACACAATAACATACTGGTATGTTACACATAAACATACAAATCGCCTGGTTGTGTAACAGGATCATTGAAAAATGAAAGGAAATTAAAACTAATTCTAAAATACATGTAGTAATTATTATATAGTTCAGTTAAAGTATTAGGTGATTTGTGTTATGCTTACCCTGAAATGCAGGAAGACATTCAGAGAAAACTTTGGCTATGATATTCCCCATACAAAATGCTATAAAGCAGACACACATGGCAAAATTGCTCAAATATCATTAGCTCTAAATGGAATTTTTACTACCAAATACATATTAATCAATATTTATTCTTCTGGAAATAAAAAAGGTCCAAGGCTTATTTTAGAAATTGATCTATTTTTCCTCAGTGGCCCCTTCTATTTCCATATGTGGATGTCAATAATCCTATATATAAATTATTACTTTGCTTGCATTTCAACCATAAGCAGAGTTGATTGTCAGTCAGGTAACTTTTCTGTTTAAGAATTAGATAACCTTTCCAAAGGTTATTATCTCTCATGTAACTGAGGAATTTCCCTGCTCATCAACTCTACTGTCATCCATTTCATCTCAGGGATTACTTCTCAATTCCCAGGTACTGGCTTATCCCATTTTAACTAAATTCGTATTCCCAAATTATTCATCTTTACAATGACTTCCTTGTTACCTTTTTCCTCACAGGAAGCAGAGAAGGAAGGAATTTTGATGTTACCTACTATATATTTTACAATATCAATACACTGAAAAATACAGAACTCCAGCTCTGCTCAGGATTCTACTCTTCTAACTAGTGAGCCCCTCTTCTACAATTCTATTCACAAGTGCTCCCAAGATTTAGTTTTATTGTTGGGGCACTGACAGTGGCAAAAAAAAAAAAAAAAAAAGTATGGGAGTACCTGGAATTCGTGACCCAAATGCTCTGAATTTAAAGCATAAGGATTTATACCTAATACATAGGGATTTTTACATAGGGATTTATACCTAATAAGTGCTTCTGATTTTCACCATTCCTTCTAATAAGTAATACAGTCCTATTACTCCTGAAGCAGAAGAAATGGAGCATCCACACTAAAAAACAAAAAACAAAAAAACAAAAAAATACATTCCTTCTCTCAGACTGTTTCATAGATTGGTCTTTGTTGAGACAAAATAGTTATCAAACAATGAGTGATGGCTATTTGAGGTGCATAAAACCATTTTAATCCTTTATACTTGTTCTTTTCTTGTATATTTTCAACTTGTAGCCAACAGGCTATCTTTAAGCACAGCCCCAATTCAGGGTGCTTTGAGCCCTTCAGTTCAATCCCTCCAAGTATGGGTATTAGATGCCTCCTCATACTAAATGCTCAGGGCCCCACTCTCCTTTTCTTGAGATTATGGGTGTTTTGAGGGCATTGAGTAAATACAGAAGAGGGGATGTCCATACACAAGTATTTGGGGACGAAGCAAAGCCCCCCGGTACAGACAGGAATCATTCCTGAGTGATGGTGAGATGCTAAACCTTGGCAAGTTGGAGCCAAGACAGTTACATCCAGCTCGCAGGTGGCCTTTAAGTCCTCCAACAGTGCCTCTTGCAGTTAGGATTATCAAACCTCCTAATTTGTCCAGGACATTCCAGTTTATGCCTATTGTCCCTGTTATCATGATGTAATTGGTGTCCCTTTTCAAGTATCTTAGTTTGGGCAAACAATTATATGGTCATCCTATTTATTTATGGTAGAATTTTCCCAAATCCACCCACTTTGCTGTAGAAGGCTTCTCCCTTCTTGAGAGCTTTTCCTCTATCAGCTCCCTGGATCCTGGCTTTCCTGTCCAGTCTATTAATCTCCTTCCTTCCTCTCCTCACCCTATCCCCAAATCTTTGAATCTCCTGAAATTCTTTCCTTCTCCCTTCCATCATCTGGAAAGCTTCCTTTCTTCAAACTCCTTCAAGGCCACCCTTCTGTCTATTCTCTGATCCTTACCTTCTTTCACAATAAACTTTAGACCAGAGAATGCTATTTCACCTGCACAAGTGATCAGCAATTTGGAACATGCTGGTGGCACTGGTCATAGATATTTTTTAAACACCCGTGATCCAGAATCCATGAACCCAGGCGTCTCCCAGACTTACACCAGCCTCTCACAGCAGACATCTGTATTTTCCCAGAATTCTACAGATGATTCTCATATACGGTGAGCATTGAGTAGTCCTGTCCTCATATGCCTCAGGCACTTTGCATGACATCTCATTAATTCTCATAATCTTACAAAGGCAAC